>NC_000004.12:134072896-134375926 GCF_000001405.40 Homo sapiens
CAGCATGAGGGTAACTGCCCCCATGATTCAATTACCTCCCAGTGGGTCCCTCCCATGACACATAAGGATTATGAGAACTAAAATTCAAGATGAGATTTCGGTGGGGACACAGCCAAACCATATCATTCCACCCTGGCCCCTCCCAAATCTCATGTCCTCACATTTTAAAACACAATCTGGTACTTCCAACATTCCCCCAAAGTCTTAACTCATTTTAGCATTAACTTAAAAGTCCAAGTCCAAAGTCCCATATAAGACAAGGCAAGTTCCTTCCACCTATGAGGCTGTAAAATCAAAAGCAAGCTAGTTACTTCCTAGATACATGGGAGTACAGGCATTGGGTAAATACACCTGTTCCAAATGGGAAAACTTGGCCAAAATTAAGGGGCTATAGGCCCCATGCAAGTCAAAAATCTAATAGGTCACCCATTAAATCTTAAAGTTCCAAAATGATCTCCTTTGACTCCATGTCTCACATCCAGGTCACGCTGATGGAAGTAGGCTCCATGGCCTTGGGCAGCTCTGCCTCTGTGGCTCTGCAGGGTATAGGCCCCCTGCTGGTTGCTTTCACGGGCTGGTGTTGTGTCTGAGGCTTTTCCATGTGCACAGTGCAAGCTGTCAGTGGATTTAAAATTCTGGGGGCTGGAGGATGGTGGTTCTTTTCTCACAGCTCCACTAGGCAGTGCCCCAGTGGGGACTCTGTGTGGGGGCTCCAACCCACATTTCCCTTCCACACTGCTTTAGCAGAGGTTCTCCATGAGGGCTTTGCTCCTGCAACAGACTTCTGCCTGCACATCCAAGCATTTCCATATATCTCTGAAATCTAGGCAGAGGTTCCCAAATCTAAATTCTTCACTTCTGTGAGCCCTCTAACACAACACGTAGGCTGCCAACACATGGAATTTGCACCCTCTGAAGCAATAACTTGAGCTGTACATTGGGCCATTTTAGCCATGGCTGAAGCTGAGGTATTAATAGCTGGGATGCAGGGCACCATGTCCCGAGGCTGCACAGAGCAGGGGAGCCCTGGGTGTAGTCCACAAAAGCATTTATCCCTCCCAGGCCTCCAGGCCTGATGGAGGGTCTGCTGAGAAGTTCTCTGACATGCCCTGGAGACATTTTCTCTGTTGTCTTGGTGATTAACAATTGACTCCTCATTACTTATGCAAATTTCTGCAGCCAGCTTGAATTTCTTTCCAGAAAATAGGGTTTTGTTTTCTATTGCATTGTCAGGATGCACATTTTTTGAACTTTTATGCTCTGCTTCCTCTTGAATGCTTTGCCACTTAGAAATTTCTTCTGCTGGATACCCTAAATCGTCTCTCTCAATTTCAAAGTTCCACAGATCTCTAGGGCAGGGGCAATATGCCAATAGTCTCTTTGCATATGAAGGGTGATCTTTACTCTAGTGCCTAACAAGTTCCTCATCTCCGTCTGAGACCACCTCAGCCTGGACTTCATCGTCCATATCACTGTTGGCATTTTGGTCAAAGCCATTCAACAAATCTCTAGGAGGTTCCAAACATTCCCACATCTTCCTGTCTTCTGAGCCCTCCAAGTCTCTAGGAAGTTTCAAACTTTCCCACATTTTCCTATCTTATTTTGAGCCCCCAAAACTGTCCTAACCTCTGCCTGTTACCCAGTTCCAAAGTCGCTTCCACATTTTCTGGTATCTTTACAGCTCCACTGCTCCTAGTACCAATTTACTGTATTAGTTTATTCTCATGCTGCTATGGAGAAATACCCAACACTGGGTAATTTATAAAGGAAAGAGATTCACAGTTCTGCAGGGCTTGTGAGGCCCCAGAAAACTTACAATCATGGTAGAAAGGGAAGGAAACAAGTCCTTCTTCACATGGTGGCAGGAGAGAGAGGTGGAAGCAAAAAGTGGAAAAGTCCCTCATAAAACTACCAGATCTTGTGAGAACTCACTCACTATCATGAGAACATCATGAGGGTAACTGGCCCCATGATTCAATTACCTCCCACTGGGTCCCTCCCACTCTACATGGGGATTAGGGGAACTACAATTCAAGATGAGATTTGGGTGGGGACACAACCAAGCTATATCAGCTGTATTTTAAGACAATTGAAAATAATCATGGTCAGTTAATCTCCTTGGGGAGGGAGAAAAATGATTATGTTTAAATTATATTAAACCTAATATGGGAATTTGTTTAAGCATTTCTTATAATTGAATTAAAGACAAAAAGTGTCTAATGACTGGATATTTCCAAGATTTCAAATACAGGAGAAGTTCAGGGTTTTGAGTAGATAGTCCAAAGGATTTGAAAGTGTCTGATGTCAATGTAGGAGCACTTTAAGGTGATTTTAATTTAGAGATTGTGAATGTGAGGGTTGATGGTAAATGTTTAGAAAAGGAGAACATATTGTGATTAAGGAGGTCAAAGAGCTGAGAGGCCAAGGTTTGAATGTTTCATCCATCTCTTGAACCTACCTAGATTTCTAGCAGTTCTTAAGATAAAAAAGTCTTAGTCAATATCTTCATTGAGTAAATAAATAAATTAATTAATTAATAATGCATTCAGAAGCTTCAACTGGAGTGATATCTGCTGAATCAATCTACTGTTCTTACTTATTGAGTAATGAGTATCATTAATTATCTGAACTATTCTAATAGCATCCGAAGTAGACTGTGTTAAGACTTTTAGCTTTATCCAACATATTCCCCCAAGCGGACACTAGTTATTTTTCTAATGTGATTTAATATAAGATGACTTCCTACTTTCAAAAAATAAAACTCTAAAAATCTGTAGTCAGATTCCAGTTTAATTTTCTTTTTCCATAATTTTTATTATTATATTTTTTCTTTCTTATCTATTGATTAAACATCAATTACTTGCTTCTTATTCTTACTTGACCATGTAAAATTTTATGTGTTCTATAGCATCTGCTGGAGCATGCTGTCCTCGTGGGTACTCCTGGACCATGCCTCTGCAAGCATGTATCCATTGATTCCAAAATATATATTGATTGTTTACATCATTAAATTGGTCAAAGATAAAGATAAGTTGGTTAGCAAGGCACACATTTTCCAGGAAATAAGTAAAGTAAATAAACAAATGAACAGGGCAATCATTTCTTATAATAGGAACTGGAAAAAAAAAAAGAGAAGTGAGGAATGAGGAGCTATAGCTACAACACACACTACCTTTTTTTTTGAATGCAGTTACCTGGATACCTAATTTCAGGAAAATTTTCAGAATGACTTCTTGTTGAAGATAACTTAGTTGAAATAGGAATTTAAAGCCATTTAAAAAGTGGAAATCAGAATTATGACACTTCAAAAAGCCTTAAAAAGGAAAAAGGGTCTGAAAGTTTCTGATGACTGGAGTTGCAACAGATGAGTTTAGAAGAGAGGCTGGGTTAAAATAAGAAAGTTTAGATTTTTATTAACACTAAAGTAGGAAGTGTGGGAGGTGCCTTCAAAGTGACAGCATTTGATTTATTCTTTCTGATCACATTCCTTGGAGAGTGCAGAATGGATTGATAGGTGAAGCCGAAGTAGGGCCAGCAGTAACAGTGAAGATGGGAACATCTTCAGTGCAGAAGGAAGGGACATACATGCGAGAGAATCAACAATGCTTGCCTCTGACTTATATGTGGGGAGTCAGGAAAAGGAAGGAGTCAAAATTATGTAGGTTTTGATATAAGCAAATGAGTAACTAGTGGTACCATTTTGTAAGAAGATAAGACTGATGGAGGTAATCTTTGCGGGCAAGTAATAAACCAAAGGCTCAGCTTTGGAGGTGATACATTTGAAATGCTCATGAGATATCCAAGATTTGTCAGGTAAGCAACTGAGCATGTGGGTCTGGAGCTTTGAGGGGACAACTGTTATGGATATATAGACATACCCATATAGATAGATAGATAGACTTTCATATATACCTAGTTTTATATACATATATGTATATGTGTGAATGTGCGTATATGTGTATACATTTTGAAAGCATGATGTCATCATCCAGATGGCATTTATGTCTATGATAATTAAAGAGATTGCCTGTCATAGCAATATATCTCATAAAATAATTATATTTCTGTGCTACTATTGCTCTATAGAACATTTTTATAGCATGAATAGTTCATATTATAGCTTACTGCATACATGTTTGCAATTTCACATGGTAGCAAACTTCCTTGGGAAGGTTTGACATATTATTCTTTTCTACATCTTCTATTGTGCTTAAATTGTATGTTTATGGGTATATATGTGCACGCATTTGTCTGTGTTTTCTATAATACACATGGATTGAATTAAGTTTCTTGAAATGTTCCATCTTGAAAACTTCTGTACAGCTATGTATTCTTTTTCTGCTCCATTTGTTGAACATTGCTTTCTTTATATTAATATATTCAGTGCAGCCATAAATATAGGCAATCTGGGCACAGAGTCTTACTTTTACTTTTTTCTCCCCAGTAGTAAGATTGTTTTATGAAAGCCTAAAAAAAGCATCTGTGATCTTTGCTGCTATAAAAATAACCACTGATTCATTCAGTGCATTAGTGTTGCAGAAGAGGGGAAAAAAAAGTGTAATTACATTATGCAAATTAAAGAAGCTTAGATAGAATGACTGACCTTGTTATGTGGGTTAACATCATTGGGTGGGTGAGCTAAACAAGATATCCTTTTGGAGTAAGTAGGTTAGCAATAAAACAGAAATCGTAGTAGTGTCTCCAGTTGTGTGCACATTTTCACCTCCCACGTAGAAAGTCTCTCCTAAGGACCAATCATAAGTCCCATATCCTTTACGCTTTTTTGTCTACCTCTGGCCTTTGTGTTCTAACCTCCCCTTCATTATTCAATTAATTTTCTCTATTTCCAGTATTCTCATATCTGTTTATTCCCATGGAAGGTTGTTTTTAATATAAAATCTATTTTCACATAATTTTTAAGTTGATTTCATCATGTTTGCAATTATGTGACACATGGAATCTGATCATGCTTCGGCAATCAATTAAATATTTATCTTTAACTAAATTACATAGAACATCAGCACCTAGGCAAATGCCCATGGGGGAAAACCAACCACCCCACAAAAAAACAAAACAAAACAAAGCAAAACAAAAAACAGAGATTCATACTTGCAGGACAAAAAAGATATTTAAAAAATCAAACTATGTACATAAAAATACTTATCTAAAACAAACTATTTGAAATACAGTGATATAAGGTAAGTGATAACTAACCTAAAATGACCCCCTGGACTTAACATAAGTAATACTAAAGTAAAAGCTTACATAAGTATCTCTATACTATACCAAGCACAGAAATTATTAGAATTAGTTCACCCATGTTCATGCATTCTACTTTCCTAATCAAGGCATAACATATTCCCTGAACTTTTCCATAAATGGAATAATGAGCACCAAAAGCACGTGTATAAAAATAACAGACGTGGGCTGCTTTCTTTTCTGGTTAATATCACCTGTGTATATGTCACACACCGTGTACTTAAAGGAATCTAAAAGGAAAGTGGTTATTCAAAAAGAAAATGAAACTACTGTTACTATTGCTTGTGCTTGCCATATTGCTTAGCACTAAACAAAAAACGAAAGAAAGAACAAAATATTAGAAAGAGAGGCATGATGGGCTAATGTTGGTCAGAGTCCTGGAAAGTGGAATTATGTATAGTTGTTAAACTGATAAAAAAGACTCCAGTGACAGGAAAATACTCATTATAGTCCTAGAATTAGGCTGAATTTTCAGCATAGAGATAAGTTTTGTAGCTTTTTTTTTTTTTTTTTCAGACGGAGTTTCACTCTTGTTGCCCAGACAGGACTGCAATGGGGCGATCTCAACTCACCACAACCTCCACCTCCCCGTGTTCAAGCCTTTCTCCTGCCTCAGCCTCCAGAGTAGCTGGGATTACAGGCATGCACTACCATGCCTGGCTAATTTTTTTTTCTTTTTTTTCTTTTTTTTTAGTCGAGACGGGGTTTCTCCACGTTGGTCAGGCTGATCTCAAACTTCGGACCTCAGGTGATCTGCCTGCTTCAGCCTCTCAAAGTACTGGGATTACAGGCGTGAGCCACCGTGCCCGGGCTTTTTTTTTTTTTTTTTTTTTTGAGGTGGAGTCTTGCTCTGTCGCCCAGGCTGGGGTGTAGTGACCTGATCTTGGTTCACTGCAACCTTCGCCTCCTGTGTTCAAGCGATTCTTCTGCCTCAGCCTCCAAAGTAGCTGGGACTACAGGTGTGCACCACCACGCCCAGCTAATTTTTGTATTTTTAGTAGAGACGGTGTTTCACCATATTGGCCAGGCTGGTCTCAAACTCCTGACCTCGTGTCCCGCCTGCCTCTGCCTCCCAAAGTTCTGGGATTACAGGCTTGAGCCACCACAACCAACCTGTTTTGTAACATTTTAAAAAAAATTGTGCAGCCGGGTGCGGTGGCTCACGCCTGTAATTCCAGCACTTTGGGAGGCTGAGACAGGCGGATCACGAGGTCGGAGATCGAGACCATCCTGGCTAATACGGTGAAACCCCATCTTTACTAAAAAAAAATAAATTAGCCAGGCGTGGTAGCGGACGCCTGTAGTCCCAGCTACTCCAGAGGCTGAGGCAGGAGAATGGCATGAACCCGGGAGGCAGAGCTTGCAGTGAGCTGAGATTGTGACGCTGCACTCCACCCTGGACAACAGAGCAAGACTTCCTCTCAAAAAAAAAAAAAAAAAAAAAAAAAAAAAAAAACTGTGCATCTTTTAAAACTGCTAGTAAGAATACAAGGATGTGTGTCTGTGTGTGTATGTCTGTGTGTGTGTGTGTCTGTGTGTGTGAGAGAGAGAGAGAGAGAAAGAGAGAGAGATTTCCCCCCAATTAATAGAAATAGAGATGAAATCTCATCTTACTGAACTGCTGAATGTGATAATAGCCAAGGTCCTTGGAAAATAATGGTAATTCTAAAATTTAATATTATATGGTTTTTATAAAATGCTTTCTATTTGTGTTAGCTATGACAGTGACAGGTCTTCAGAAAACTATATAGTTTAAAAAAATTTTTTTTTGGAAATGACCAGAAAAATACAACTAATGAGTATAAAACCTGGTATTAATTTTTTTCCATTTTATTTCTATTTTTTTATTATAAATTACTTTTAACCTACAGACATACTATGCTTTAAATATTGGAATGAGATTATTTCCTACTGAATATTGCTGGAAATAATAATAGCTTCAACTAAGAAGATAAATATATGTGGTTTAATCTAGTATTTCAGAACATTTGGAAAAATATCTTTGTCCTTAAATTTGCATCTATTTTGAAATGTCACATGAGTGAATTAGAAAACACGATTTGATCCATATTTCTACCTTAACTACTTTGACCAGTGCCATAGTTCAAAAGAGAGTCTAAGAAGTGTTATTCATGAGCCTGTCACCTCTCAGATATCACCTTATACAGCTTTGCTATTATACCCAGAGCAATGTTTCTCTTTCAATGGTAATTTGCATTTGGCACTTTATCCAGCATTGATTTTTACTTCTGTTCCCAATATAGCAGTAGGAGTTGGAATGTCTGAGTTGTGATTGATGTTTCATTTGGGAATTCTTATATTCTTTTATTACCAAGAAAAAAAATCCATTTTCCAGAGTACTAGAGTTGATTCTTCAAATTAAGTCTGAGATCTTTAATTCTCTAACTTCAGAGTGAAAGGTACAGTGCTAGTTAACTTGGCTTATGAAATAAGAAGGAGTCACCTAATCTCTTTGGTTAATAAAACATCATTTTTATGTATCCACAGAAAGCTTTAAAATGATATTTACATAAAAATTATAGGAAGTGACACAACAAAATAATAAAAATTAAATTCTGAAAAGTTATGTTTCCCTTTAGAATTGTCTCAATTTGTAGAAGTCAAAAAAGGTGATTTTAGGTTATGAAAATTAGTCTATGTTTAATCTACATAGAACTATGGATTACTAACACACACCAAGAAGGTTCCATAGGGATGTCTGTTGTCACTAACACACAGTGTATCATATTGACCATGTAACTGACAACTTCTGCAAACAGACATGTATGCTAAGTTCTAAGGCAAAATCAAGGGATCACTTATTTTATGAGTCAGACTCCAAAGCAATTTTTTTATTTCTATTATAGACATCTAATATATTCAAATTTAAGCATATAGTTATCCAATACATATTTTAAAATGTATGTTCAGTAAAGCCTCAAACTGAATTTACAAGGAAGATTTGAAAGTAAAAGTAGGTATTAAGAAGGACTGTTACTATACATTTAATGGCTGTTGAAGTCTTCATTAAAACTCAATCAACTAGATAGAAATAGAAACAGATGTTTTGTGAATAGATGTGGTGGAATGGGGTTTAGTCCAGCCAAACCTGTGGCTGGAGTTGCCCCGAAAGCAGCTGCAGAGGAATTTCCACAAGAGTGCCCCAAATTAGCCAAGATGGGGCTAGTTGAGGTTCCAAAGAAAGAAGCACTAAACATCAGAGTGGTCAGTCCAAAGCATTTATTAGAGGAAGTTGCATAAAGAGTGGGCTGCAGGAATTCTCACCAGAGGCAGTAAGAGAAGAGGGATGTTCTTCCTAAGTATGTCCACAGCAATGAAGTAAGATTATGGAGTTTATTTGAGAGTTTAAGGAATCTGGCTCAGGACTGAGGCCTTTTTTGGCAGCAGCCTAAATACTTTTATCAGTGCCTGGGGATGTTCAAGGCACCAGATTGGGTTCAAACCTGCTGTGAAAATCCTGCATAGCCAACGGTACTGGAAGACTCTACAAATGGTGTACTTTTAAAATCACAATGCTGTTCTACTCTCACCTGCTTGGTAGAAAAATGTAAAAAAAAGAAAAAAGAAAAACCAACTAACCAAAAAAACACAAATAAACTTAGAAAAACCTGAATAAAATGACATACAGTTCTGACTCCCATTAAGGTCCCTAATGATGCTCATTACGACCCCAACTGCATTTTGATGCTGAAATATAATGCTTCTATTCATCATCGGAATAGAATATGGATGCTGACAATTGACAACACTTAATAATAATAGAAGAGTTCACAAAATTCAAAACTCCCTGTGTATATTGTCAGCTTGAAAGAAAATGTGTGATGGATGTTGATCAGCTCCAAGAAAAGTGAAATGACATGTTCTGGAAGAGGAAATAAAGACAAAGTGATCTAACGAGGTTCAGCGGCATCATTCACTTCAGCAAATAAGCATAAGACAAAGACTTTCTGACATGATTCAAAAAGAATAAAAGGGATGTCTTATTACATTATTTTTCATTTTAAGGAGGTTATTAAAAACAGCTTTTAATAGTCCTAAAATCTCATTCATCTTCTAGTCTCTTTTAAAACTTGTTAGCTTTGTTTTTATTTCTGTATCTGTGTGTACATATCTGTGGTTGTTTTCTTTTTTGAAAAAAAAGATTACTTGGTTTTTACAGGATTTGGGGTATAAAGATGGGAGTCAGACATGTAGGCCAGTGTTAGTCTCAGGCTCAGAGAAATCAAAAGGTTAGTAAAGGTCAGCTATTCCATAGGGATAATTTGTTTGTATTCTCTGTTCTAACAGTTGAAGTATTGTCTTGAGATTCGTTACTAGGATGAAAGCTATCATGTTCTTATTATGTCTATTAAAAAGTTAATTTTTTAATGTTTTTAAAATTTTTATAATTGAAAAAAGTTTATTATAGAAAATTGTGTAAATATAAAAACTAAGAAGAACAAAATAAGCATAATCGATGATCTCATATGGAGAGTCTCCTTGCTGAGAATTGAGGTACTTCTCAGTGTATTCTGATTTATATTGGGCCCATCTCTCTATTTCATTCTCTCCTCAACCTTACATCATTAGCATATTTTTCCTGTTAATATTTTCAAAAAGTCCCATACATTATTTGATAAGATCCTACTGAAAAAAAAAATTATCCCTCAAAGTGTAAAATAGTCTATCCAAAAATTTGTCTTTGTTACGGCAACATGATCGATATTTTCCAGAGCCTAGCTGGAAGCTGGCTGAGACTGTGAGTGTGATCTAACTTCGGAAATAACTTTGGAAGCCCTTCTCTGTACTGCATGAGCACTGGGGTTAGCATGACCATCACCATAGATTATACTACTCTTTCACCTCACAGTGTGACAATGGGACACAGCAGTAGAATTGACTTGATTCAATTTCCAACTCTTTCTAATTTCAATTTTCATTCATTCATTCAGCAGATAATTGTTAAGAACCTACTATTTGAAGAAAAAATAAAGCCTCCTAAATTAACATGCCTGCCTTTCTGTAATATACATTCTGGATGGTTTACATTGAGTCTCTGAATTGGAAGATGAAATTGGTTCCTCTGTTTATCCTCCACTTTCCTTTGACATTTTGTTATAAGCTGTAACCTATATGTCTCCTTATAAATAACATTTCTTGACTGCCAGCTTTACTGATCGAGGATTGGATTATATTTTAAACATATCATGGCATTGTTTCCAAAACAATGGTCAAAGCAACTTGCCAAAAAAAAAATACCAAGAGGGATATATCCTGATTGATTCTCACATTCCTCTCAGATACATTTTTAAATGTGATATACTGTCCTATAAATGTACTGAACAACGTGTGACAGAAACCAGGCAGGGACATTCCTGAAGGCAGGTTTCCGCAGCTGTCTCTAGCCACATACCTGATATGCAACAATCTGCATTCATTCTGATTGTATCAGGTGAAAGCTATGGAAGATTAAAGTGGCCAAAGTGAAGTTGTACTTTGGCTAGTATTAATTCATTCAGAACATTCCTAATTGTGCTAAAAAGCATTCAGATCACTGTTCTAAATTTATCAATAAACCTATGTAAAACACTTTTTGACAACAGGTCTAAAAGCATCATCAGAATAATACATACATTCTAGACCACTTTATGCTGAAAGGCAAATGTATGTTTCCAAATCGAAAAGCTTATATCAAAAACACAGGTATATGTGATACATTATAAAATTAAGATATTATATGTAATATTTCCCATTCTAAATTTATTCATGTACATTTATTAAAGTGTGATTCTTAGGGAAAAATGTTCTTGTCATTTCTTATTTTTATTTAAATGGCTTTTATTTTGTGAAATCATAAGAACACTAGAATTAATTTTGTGTCTAATGTTACTTGTGTAATTTTTATTTTTTTGAGACAGGGTCTTGCTCTGCTGTCCAGGCTACAGTGCAGTAACATTATCAGAGCTCGCTGTAGCCTCAAACTCCTGGGCCCAAGGGATTATCCTGCCTCAGTTTCCCAAGTAGCTAGGACTACAGGCTCACAGCACCATGCCTAGCTAATTTTAAAAGATTGTAGAGAAGAGGTCTCCCGATGTTTCCCAGGCTGGTATCAAACTCCTGGCTTCAAGCAATCCTCCCTCCTCAGACTCCCAGGGTGCTGGGTTACAGATGTCAGCCACCTCACCTGGCTACTTCTGTCATCTTAATATAATCACTTGATACATACAACAAGGAGTGTTCTCTATGAGTTTCCTACTTTATTTGATCTGATATTTTTATTTTAATTATTTCAAGCATCGGAATTTTGATGTTTTAAATTATGTAGCAAATTGATGGATTTTTTTTTAAAAAAAAGATTATTTAGAAAATACCAAATTATCTTAGAAGTGACATTATATGCAATTTATCTTCAAAGGAGATGGATCTACTAAAATATGTTCAGGTTGCCAGTTACATCTTACAGAAAAAGAAAGGAAGAAAGAAAAAGAAATGCAAATGCAATGGAATAAAAGGAAAGAAAAGAGAAGTCTCAGAAGGAAAGATCAGAGAAAGGGAAGAAGACTGAAGTAATACACTTTAATATCCTGTCTTTTCAACACATTTTTTTTGTTCAATGTCTCTGAGCCCTTCATTTTTCTAGCCACAGTGTACTGTTGTTGCCAAACTTTCTCCATAATTCAGCTAAAATCAGAATCTCATCACAAGACAGGGAAAGATTAGGCTCACAAACACATGGAAGGGTGAGGAAAATTGAATTTATTTGATGAAAAGGAAAAAGAAAGGAAAACCCTCAGCAAAGGGAAAGGGGGTCTTGCCAATGACTTCTACCTCATAGATTGAATACCAAGTCCCCACACAGGAACAGCAGAGGCCAGGCTCCTCCCTCCTGCAAATGGTGCGAATTTCCTGAGGCTCCACCCGCTCCTCCTAGTGAGCAGGTGGACATTATTCACGAAGAATCAGTTGAGAAAGGTTGAGCTTCATGTGGGACCAGCAGTCCATTCTTTTAACCTTCAGGCTGTTTTAGGCTTGAAAGTGGGGTTTCCCAGGGGCCCTTGGCTGCCTCCTGTCTCTATCACTGTTTTCATAAACTTTTATAAATTTTATAAACTTTAAAAAGTTGGAGTATGTATGTACATATCATATGTGCATGTACATAAAATACATATATATATCATATGTACATGTACATAAAATACACATGTACATATACAAATCTATGTAAACATATGTGACATATTATACATTCTGTATTATAAATTTATAAAATATACACACATAATACACAAACACACACGCACTAACGCAAAGTCACAAATCCTAAGTGCACATCTTGCTTAATTATCACAAAGAAAACACACTATATAAAAAATAACAAAATCAAGAACTACTGTAGAAATCTGTGTCCTATCTCAGTCACTATCGTTCTCCCCTCCAAGAGGAAACCACTATTCATACTTCTAACACCATATGTTGTTTTTGCTTTTGTTTAACTCTATGTAGATGAAACCATGTGGCATGCTTTGTTTTGCATTTGAATCTTTCCATTCAAAGTTATGTTTGTGGGAGTCTACAATGTTGTTTCATATGTTTATTTTCATTGCTGTATACCACTCTGTTGTATGTATATACAACTATTTGTTCTACTTTTGATATGCATATGTGTTCTTTTCAGTTTGGGACTATTGTGAATAATTGTGCTTTGAGCATTCACGTACATTTCTTTTGGTGCACAGATATCTGCTTTTCTGGTAGATATGTAAGTACGGAATTTCTGTGTCATAGGGTATAAATATGTTCTGCTATAAAACTCATTGTGAAAAATTTCTTCCAACTGATTGTAATAATAGTAATAATTGTAATCACTTCTAACAATAGTGATTTTCCTGAATCTGTACAAACTGTCTAAAATATTATTGGTCTTTTTTACAGTGTCATGAATCCTTGAATAAACAGTAGCATTTCACTGGGGGGTTCTTTTTTCTTTGGCATTTTCCTGGTAATGTAAGAAGTTGGGTTTTTTTTTTCTTCCAATTTTTGAACTTATTGGTGATTTTGAAAAGTAAATATTTACTCTCCTTCTTATTTGGATTGTCTATCTACTCCTTATTTATTTGCAAATATTTTCTATATAATCCAGTTCTGAGTTGTCAATGTTCTATTTTGCAGCTATTCTTTCTTACTCAGTGGCTTGCATTGTCACTCCCCTAAAGGCAGCACTTTGGTTAAATGGATGCATCATCTACTCTCTATTTACTCTCAGATTTAAGCTGTCCTTGAGAGTCTGGACCACAGGGATGGTCTGTCTCTCTGCTCTTTTCCTTTCTTAATAGTAGAAGATACACAACACTTTTCAATTTTTTTTTTTATCAAAAGAAGTGGAACCCTCTTTTTCAAAAGAAATCTCATATGGAACCCAAAAGATAAAAGTAGAGCAGATCTTATTGTAGCAGGGAGATAGTTCCAGAATATTTTTGGCCATGCCACCCTCCCGCTCCACCGTCACAGGGACCTATGTGGCACCTCCAGGAATCCTACGATTCTGCAGAGCAAAGCTTGAAAGTCTTTTTTTTTTTTTTTTCTGGATGATAGGGTATTCTATTTATTTCTTTTTCTTTGTTTGTTTGTTTTTGTTTTATTTGTTTTTTTTTCTTTTATTATTATACTTTAAGATTTAGGGTACATGTGCACATTGTGCAGGTTAGTTACATATGTATACATGTGCCATGCTGGTGCGCTGCACCCACTAACTCATCATCTAGCATTAGGAATATCTCCCAATGCTATCCCTCCCCCTTCCCCCCACCCCACAACAGTCCCCAGAGTGTGATGTTCCCCTTCCTGTGTCCATGTGATCTCATTCTTCAATTCCCACCTATGAGTGAGAATATGCAGTGTTTGGTTTTTTGTTCTTGCGATAGTTTACTGATACCCAAAGGACTATAAATCATGCTGCTATAAAGACACATGCACACGTATGTTTATTGCGGCATTATTCACAGTAGCAAAGACTTGGAACCAACCCAAATGTCCAACAATGATAGACTGGATTAAGAAAATGTGGCACATATACACCATGGAATACTATGCAGCCATAAAAAATGATGAGTTCATGTCCTTTGTAGGGACATGGATGAAATTGGAAATCATCATTCTCAGTAAACTATAGCTTGAAAGTCTTGTATTCATTTTCAGTTCTTCTTTTACTGAGTTCTCAAAAGTATTTGACTCCTTTGGTCACTCACTATTTGGCTTCTGGGACATCACTTTTGGAGAGTCCTATTGCAGGTCAAAATCCTATATATAAACTTGCACACCCAGCCATAGGGCAATTATAAAGGTTTTACATGGCAGATCTCACAGGGTAAAGCTGCCCGCCTAACACCAGTTGTGCTGCAGACCAGTGCAATGCAGTCTCTGGAGGGAGTCACAGACAAGGACTCAAGCCCACCTGCACTGGCAATGTTCCTGTATATAGCTGCATTCCAAGCTCAGGTGCTTCCATCCAGAGGCCCTCTATATGTGAAGTCCTTACCCAAGTCCTTTCTTGGTTACCTCTACAGAGACTTCCTCATCAAGGGACTTTGAAGGCACTATTCTCTACTCTCAGCACTTTCTCATTCCTATTTATCTCCCTTCTTCCTTCCTCCTGGCCTTTTCCCTCTGGCCTCTCGGTCTATAAAACATCATAAATCTTTAGAGCAAGGCTTCTATGGCAATGGGACATACATTCTACGTTAATACATCTAGTACCATTCCACAGGGAAAAATAGAAAATGCTGGGAAAACTGGCAGCTTTTCCTGCTTTGGGTGTTGATTATACTACCTGAGGAAGTGTATAAAGCCTGACTGTTCTTTTCAGTTTGGCTTCTTGTCTTAACTGACCACCTGACCACCTAAGAGCTCAGGCCTCTTTTTCTCTGACAGATTTCTGTTGCTCCTCTTACCTCACCGATCTCCCCTTCTGTCTCCCATTGTTATATCCTCCTCATCTCCCTGTATCCTAAAAATTAGAATATTCTGGGGTTTACTCCTTAGAGCCCTCCTCTCCAGTTATACTCAAGATTCATAGTTTTAAAATCATGTGGCCTCCAACTAAATTTATAGAAATTTATATCTCCAGTTTCAATTTTTCCTCAAACTCCAGGTATCTCCAAGGGAATGGTTCAAAAGCACCTCTACTACTGGGACCTAAGCTGGTAGAGGAAAAGTTTTTCTTCCATTGATACTTTCTAGTCAAGTTTGTAATTAAGTAAATTACAAAGTTACTCCATGATATACATTCCCTCATTATCCATTTGTTCTCTTAATATCATTGCTATGGTGTGAATGTGGCCTCCAAAATTCATGTGTTGAAACTTAATTACCAATGTGAAAGTATTAAAAGGTGGTCCCTTTAGAACATGATTAAGTATAAGGGTGAGCTCTAGTGGATGGGATTAGGGCCTTTATAAAAGGGCATGAGGGAGTGGGTTTGTTTTCTGCTCTTCCTTCATGTGAGGTCAAAGTACCAACTTGGTAGTAAAGACCAAGTTCTCACCAGACACAAAACCTGCTGGCACCTTGATATGGGGCTTCCCAGGCTCCAGAACTGTGAAAAAGTAAATTTCTGGTCTTTATAAATTACCTCATTTCAGATATTTTGTTATAGGAGCACAGATTGAGATGATCATTATTATGATCATTATATTCATTATGTCCACAAATCTTTATTACATAGGCTTGATAAACAATAAAAAATAGAACTAGCACCTGACCTTGAATGGCTCACAGACTGGTGAAGAAATGTATTTTAAAAGTAATTTCAGTTATTTGGAGAGAGGTGTAATAATGTATATAAGTGATTTTAGCAATTTTTTGTCTATCTTCTTGCTTTAAAAGATGAGGAAAGGAACTAAAGTCAGCAGGTTTATATAAACTAAATGTTGTAGTAACAAAGAAAAAGTAAGTTTCAGCAACTGCTGATTGAAAGAATATTTTATTGCTAATAGTAACTAAAGTTTGTTTCACTAAGCAATTTTTGTAAATGTTTTATAAATTTTTATTATTTATTTTCTATGAGATTTTAGACTATTCTTTCAATTTTTTAGTTCTTTTTTAATAGTATTTATTTTTAAAGCAATATTGAACAGAAGTTACAATTTCCCATAGACTTCCTACGCTCACGCACCCAGCTCCCTCATTATTGAGATCCTCCACCAGAGTGCTATATGCGTTGCAATTGATGAACTACATCCACACATCATTATCACCCAAAGTCCACAGTTTACATTAGGATTTACTATTAGTGTTTTACATTCTGGGGTTTAGACAAATAATGACACTTAGCTACCATTATAATATCATATAGAGTAGTTTTTACAGTATACATTTATAATTGTTCTATTTTATTATTATTGTTAATGTCTTACTGTGCCTATTTATAAATCAAACTTTATCACAGGTTTGTATGTATAGGAAAAAACATAATATCTACAGTTATCCTTTGAACAATACACAAATGCACTTATACATTTTTTTTTCTCCAGCCAAACTTGAATTGAAAATACAGTATTCCTCAGATGCAAAATCCCTCATATCAGGAAGGTTGACTTTTCTTTATATGTGGGTTCCATAGGGCTGAGCGCAGACTGTATTATGCCAGGATTTTGGTATACATGGGGATTCTGGAACCATGCCCCTGTGTATAACCTGGGATAATTGCAGAGAGTTTGTGCTGAATGGTTGTAGGCATCCACTACGGATCTTGGAACATACCCTTCATAAATAAGGGGGTAGACTATTGTAGTCTTAGACTCATGACAATATTGAAATCAATTGAGCCCTCTGCAGCAAGAAAAGAGAAGGGTGAGAAGTTTCCACACTGTTTTGTTTTCCCAGAACTTGATAACCAGAAAGGATTACTCCGTTCTCAGGTATTCAGTGATAAGGCCCAACTCCACCTTTTCTTAATGACTCAGATAAGACATACTCATCCCAACGGTTCTGCATGACTCCCATAAGTCTCCTGAATGACTCTCTTGATTGCTTGCTTCTATAAAATCCAGTTATTTGAGATGTTCCTCATTATTTAATGTTTTTTCTGTTACAATTGCCTGAATAAATAATCTCCTTAATTGTTTGGTGTCTTGTGATTTTATACTCAGTTTATAGAATAATTCAAACATGTTATATACTAATACTTTAATAGTTTCATTTTTTTTAAACATTTAGATTCCTGATCCATTTGAAATACATTCCTTCACACAGTTGATATAAGGAATTGCTTTTATATTTTTTCAAATGGCTAACCAAAGTCTCAGCACTATTCATTAAAAAGGCTGTCTTTGGGACCAGGTGCAGTGGCTTATGCCTGTAATTGCAGCAACTCAGAAAGCTGCGATAGGATGACTTGAGGCAAGGAGTTGGAGACCAGCCGAGGCAACATAGCGAGACCCCATCTCTAAAATAATTTTAAAAATTAACCAAGTCTGGTGGCATACCTGTAGTCCTAGCTACTTGGGAGGCTGAGACAAAAGGATTGCCTGAGCCCAGGAATTTGGGATTAGAGAGAGCTATGATTATACCATTGCACTCCAGCCTAGGTGACAGAGCAATATCCTGTCTCAAAAAAAAAAATAAAAAGGTGGGAGGGGTTGCTGCCTATGAAATGATGCAATAGTGAATAGTGATTAGATATGTCACCTTTATCATATAGCGTATTTACTTGTATATTTGGATCTGTTTCTGGATTTTCTATTGCATTTCCATAAACTGTTAGTCTAGTATAGAGGCTTCTAATATCTGGTAAGTCTGACCCCTAAATTTTTCTGGTAATTTTTACATGCTTATTTTCTCATTTTTCCATATTACTTTTGGTATTAACCTGTGCAGTGATATAAGAAAAAAAATGTGTGTTTGTGTTTTGGGGTAGTATTATTTTAACTTTCTATGTTAACATAGAGAAGACTGAGGTCATTATGCATGTGAGTTGTCCTAATCGAGAGTATGGATCCTTTTCATTGATTCAAACTTACTTTTGTGTCTTTCAGGGTTTTTAAAAAGTGTTTCCTCATTTACGCTTTCTACATTTAGTATTAAGTATATTCTTCAGTACTTAACTTTTATTGCCACTGTAATTGACTTCTTTATATTCTAATGGGCAGTTTTTTTTTTATACGAAGACAATTTGATTTCAGTATGTTTGTTCTATAAATCCCTGCCATAGCCCGGAGATTTAAAATGCTTTCCTTTCTTCTTTCAACTTTATAACTTATTGAAATTTTTCTTTGTTTAAAAGTAATTTTTAATTTATTCTTTAGGAACTTTCATCTCTATTATCATCTCATCTGCAAACTGAAATAGATCTATTTCCAGTATAATAGTACAATGTGAAATAGTAGAAAAGGTAGTAGGCATTTTGCCCTATTCCTGAATTTAATGTAAATTCCTCTGATATTTTCCTCTAAGTAAGATGCTGTCTTGAAAACTAAGATAGATAGACAGATAATAGATAATTATATATAAATATAGATAAATACATTGTCAAGAATAAATAAATTTTTGAGTTTTTTTTTAAAATCAGAATTGGATGTTAAATTTTGCTGAAGGCTTTTCCATCATATATAGAAATAGTAACATGATTACATCTAATAATCTAGTGAATTATATTGATGATTTTCCTAATATTGAATCAGCCTTGAATTCATGGAATAAATGCTGGTTGGTTTTCATATATTACTTTCTTAATGTAGCATTGGATTCAGTTTGCAAATATTCCATTTAACACTTTTACAGCAAAGTAATAATGATCTGGCTTTATTTTTTGGGTACTGTTTTTAGGAGCTTTAATAATATATTTGCTTCATAAGAGTTATTGATAGATTTTCTTCATTTTCAATGCTCTGGAACAATTTATGGAGCATTGAGACTGTTTGGTGTTTGTGATACAGACAGGAGGCAGGGAAATACTGGGTAGAGGGGGGTGGTTCCCTGGAAAAGGCCCCACTCACAAGCCTGGGCCCACAGCCCTAAATGAGAACTCCACATCTTTATTTTTCCCACCCAATGTTGCTTTTTCCAAAACCACCCAGGCCTGCCACACCCCCATCCTCTACCTATAAAAACCCCAAACTCCCCTGGCAGAGGAGCAGAGTGGTGTGGCAGAGAAGAAAAGAGAGTAAGTGCCTGAATGTCGAAGAGGCAGCTGGACATTCAGAGAGGAGTTCAGGAAGGTTATCTTCCCACTCCATCCCCTTTCAAGCTCCCTATCCCACTGAGAGCCACCACCATCACTCAATAAAACCTCTTCATTCACCATCCTTCAAATTCCCATGACCTGATACTTCCTGGATACCAGACAAGAACCCAGGTACCAAGAGGGTAGGGTATATATCACCCTTACTCTCCACTGAGCTGGTTAACACTTAGCCATCTATGGACTGCCACTGCTAAAAGGGCATTGTTTGAAACACACACCCTCTGGGGCTCTAGAGGTCACGGTCAACCACTAGACACTGCTGTGGGCCAGTACAAGAATGGTTCATAAATGCATTTAAGGGCACTCACCCCAGCTCCTGCATCCACTCACCTGTATCCTCTCCCTCCCACAAGGGGTTTGAACTCAGTGGTGAGCAAAACAAGCCATCCCTCCCACCATCGCAAGTCCCACAAGAGGGTCAGGGAACACTCCCGCCTCATTTGGAAGTTTAAAACAATTCCCCAGTGAAAATATTTTGCAATGGTCCTTTTCTGAGGTAATTTCCTCACAACTCTCTTATTTTTTTCTACGGAAATTTGACTATATAAGAATTCTGTGAGGTTAATTTTGATAAACTTTTTCTAGCGAATTACTCATTTTTATAGGTTTTTGAATCTATTTGAATAGAGAAAAGTAGCTCAATAATTTTTTTTGTGTTTACTGTTAAAATGGCCATTTTCTCTTTGTCATGTCCTCTCTCTCATTCTCCCACTTTTCTTGATAAAATAAACTAGTGGTTTGTTTAAAAAGCAGGATTTTTATGTATCTTTTTTTTTTGCTTTTTCTATTCTCTAACATTAATTTTTCATTTATTATTATTTCCTTCTTTGTGCTTTCTTTTAATTTATCATTTTGCTTTATTTCTGGTTTTTGAGCTGAAAATTTGACACATTCATTTTCATTCTTTCATTTTTAGTGACAAAAGTACTTAGAGCAATACATTATCCTCTCCTTTGATCAGTTTTAAATCTCATAAATTGTATTTTTTTTATTCTGGTATGTGCTTTTTCCTTTTCATCCAAGAGTTGTTTAACATAATCCATTTCTATACTTGACATGGTTTGTTCTAATTGTTATTCCTTCATTCTTTATCTGTATTTTATAGTTTATAGTCTTCGTAGTGATACATTAAAGTCATCAAAGACCAGGACCCTTTATTTCTTTTCTTTTCTTTCTCTTTTTTTTTTTTCTTTTTGAGACCAAGTCTCACTGTGTTGCCCAAGCTGGAGTGCAGTGGCACTTCATTTCTAATCATGTATGAGACCACCATCAGGGTCAGAGGAAATTCAAATAGCTTTTCCTCATAAAGTAATTTTGATTTATTACAATGATTAAATTCATGGCTTGCTTTGGAAGGGAGTCTTTTTTATATCAGCTAGTCATTTGGGTCTAATTTCTTTTTTCTGTTTATATTGTTCTTCTATTTGAAAGATGTATTAATACCTGCTATTTTGAAAGCCTCAGAAGCAGTTCCCAGCCTATATTTATATTTGTATATTTATGTATTTACATTTTACAATATAATGTGTATTTATGTATTTGTAATATATATTTATATTTTTAAAAATTTCTTGCTGCCATAGCCCAGGGATTTAAACTCTTTCCTTTCAACTTTCAATCAGCCATGATGCATGCCATGTATGAGAAGTCCATCTCTAAAGAAAAGCTTCTTTTTCTCTTCAGAGAGAAGTTCACTAGTAGTTTTAATTTCAGTGATTTTACTGGTAATTATTTTGGGTAACATAAATTATAAAATAACAAACCTTAATGTGTTACGAAGCTTGATGAAATGTTACAAATATTGTTTCTCTATTTTTTCATATCTATAGTCCTTAATTTTTTCCATATTTTTATTGAAAGGTATCCTCAACCAAGATAGCCATTCACTTACAGCTGCCCCGCCCCATGCAGCAATAGAGGATTTGTTATTATAAAACATACAGACCCTAACTCCTAAAGTATAAAACAAGTTATGATACTAAAACTCTATGTCTACCTAGGTCTATAAAGACACTTTAGCTGTAGTTATATACTCTATATCATTTTTTGTGTAGTAAACTCACTTAAAATTCCAAGTAATATAGCATAGCAATTGAAAGTATAGAACACTTCTGATGAAGTTATGGTTTAAAATTAGTTTAATAACATTAACTTTTTTTCAGCTATAGAAACATTTCATATAGTTTTCTTAACATAAGGATTAAATAAGTCTAATTTATGCTTGTAATAACAGATTTTTCCATCATTTGCCAAGTTACTGAAAAATATGTTTAAATCACTAAAAACATTCATACCAGACATTTAACAAATAAATTATAATTAACAAAATAATATTAAAGGTAGCATTTTTCTTTTAAAATAGTGTTACCCATAAATTAAACTGGCTGATTCTGAAATAGTATTCAAGAAGGTAAGTGATTCTGTTAATTTCATTAGAAAAATGTGAAATATAAATTGCTTATGAGAAAAATAATACACTGTAATTTTTCTTCTGTATGTTCTTTTATTTCCCAAACACAAAACTTGCTAACGTGTTTTTTAAAATGGCTAGGTAAAACAATTTAGAAAATTTTATATGAAAAACAAAGTTAGTGTTTGCATTAGAATCATCATTATTTAAGAAAAGTCCATTAAAATTCAGTCTCTTATAGTTTATTATTTCAAGGTAGTACTTCTTTTACAGAACAGATTGTTCTTATAATGTTTCCATATTCTTGGTAAATTTTTTTTAATAAACATGCTTTTACTTCTTTATCTCCTTTGCCTAATTACTTTCTGATTTTTAAGAGATCTGTAATATAGAGCTTGAAAATATACTCCAGATGTCTTCCATCTGATGGTATTGTTCTGAAGTACAAAAGACAACAATTCTCTGTTATCTTTCAAAAATATTTGCCATAGAGCAGTATTATAAAATGAAATATTCACTCTAGTGTGATACAATAGCTATATATGGAAAAGAATGTTAAAATACTCACAAATAACATTTAAACAAATGCATGTTTATATTTGTATGTATGTATGCATTTATTTCTATGGTCATGTTAAACTTTTTTTGCACAAATAACATGAAAATAAATTAGTGATATTCAGAAAATAGATGGAATATTAAATAGACAAACGCCAATCCATATATTCTTTATACTTACTAGTAGTGATCACATATTGCATCCTTGGCCTAATATCTTTAATATTCAAATCTGCAACTTCTAAGTCAGGCAGTAGTTTTACATCATCTTGGTAAATTTTCACTTTTCATAAGCCCTTCAATGTTAATTTTATCTTAGTTGCTTTATCTTGCTATATGATAGGTTCAGTAAATCCTTATCACTTCTCCTTCAGCTACCTTGGCTTCCTTGCACTTTAGTACCTATACACATTCCTATCTTAAGGTTTTCCATTTGCTCTTTAGGGGAACATTTTCCCCCCAGGTACATCCTTGGCCAGCTCTCAAACTTCATGCAGGACTTTGCTCAAAAGTTGCACCCTGCACAGAGAACTTCCAGATCACTCTGGCCAAAACAGCACTCCTAGTCACTCCCTACTCTTTTATTCTGCTTACTTTACTTCAATATCATTGATCCCCAATTGACATTATTTCTCAATGTTTATTATTAACCCCATGAGAATGTAAGCTTCATTGCTTCATGAGGCCAGGGATTTTGTTAGTTTTGTTTATGACTGTATCACCAGGTCTTAAAGCTTTACTTGGCACACTATCAGTGTTCAATGCATTTTAAATAAATAGGTGTGGTACTCATTTTTTATTTATTTTATTGCCATTCTGGGTTGCAAAGAAAATGGAATAGTTTGAAGAAATGTCGGTTTTTTTCAAAGTAAGAAGATGAAAGTGATGGGACTGAAGGGTAAACACACAGTAGATAAATCACAAAGATGATTGTGAGGGCACAATACAGGTTTTATATGGAAGTATGAAAATACTTTTACTTAGTAGAACTTTTGCTTTGATAAATTACTAGTTGTGCCTTAAGATCAACATAGGCTTAAATTTTAAACTTTCAATTAAAGATAAGGAAACAAAAGGGTCAAACTACAGTGGGCAAAATATTCATAAAAATATTGGAAGCCTACAAGTTTTTTGTACATATTGTATACCTCATGTAATTTTCAGATAATAAACTTCATTCTGGGTATTGCATATTTACAATGGCTTAAGTCAGGAAATTAGGGGAACAAAGACAATGTCTACTATCTTCTAAAATAATATTTTTATCAACTCTATAAAGATATTTGCATGTTTCCCATGAAATATTAGTGTGCCTTTTGGTAAACATTTCAAACATTCTACCTAGCCTCAGGAAAACAGAGTTTGTTAGAAACTAAAGAAATAAATGTCCAGTCAATAGAAAATATCATGAAAATATGTTATTGTCAAATTTGTGCTTACATTTTTAATAACGTTTTAAATCACATTTGGTGTCCAGTAACTTTTAGTGAAGCTCTATATTCTTATGCAGATTATGTAAAAATGCTACTTGCATAACATTCTGGGAAGAAGACTTAAAAAGTGTTATCTTCTAAAGATCATTTAAATATAAGCCTATGGAGCAATTATCCATGGATGCTTAAAACATCAGATGGTGGGAAAATCACCTCATGTTGTTCAATGGGAACAATCTGGAGGCAAGTAGTGTGTAATTGTTTTATTACTTTTGGTTGAGGAGAAAATGCTCATCAGAATTTGATTACCTGCCCTAGCCTATACAGGCAGTTATCAAGGAAAAAATATACACCTTGGCAAATTTTGCCTATTAGTTAAAGAAGTGCTTATGTTCAGTTTGTGTGTGATGTTTGAAGACAATTTAAAATTAGAATCTTAGAGACTCTTGACATACTTTTTAAGATTCAAAGATTATATGAAAGAAGGAGACTCAAAAGAAATTCATGTTACATCCACTAAACAGCTGAACATCAGACTTGAGAAAGAAAAAAAGAATTTTTATTCTCAAGCTGCTATGTCTTTGAAATAACTTACAAACACCAAATGGAAATCATTTTTGCCATATTTTACCCTTCGCAGACCAATCAACTACCTCAGAATAGACAAAGAAAAAGAGAGAAACAGAGAGAGAGAGACAGAGAAACAAAACCCTGATGTTATACTCATAATTCACTTTGGATTCTAGTTCTGGAACCAGTACCCCTAAATGAATCTAGAATGACTGTGCAAACACATGCTCAGGATTGGAATAGGTCACAACAACATTTTGTTCATTCATCAAATGCTTGAGTGCCTGTCAGGTGTCTGGCATCCTTCTCAGACCTGTGGATACAGCAGAGGACAAAACAAATCACGACTCGACTCTAACAAAACTTACATTCTAAAAGTTTTTTGTGCTCCACTTTACTCAAACCACCAACCAGTGAATACTTCTGTTTTATTTGTATGTCAGCTTCTGCAACCTCATGATTTATCTTATTTTCACTTGATGCTGTTTTTACTTTCTGTGCCATTGTTCCTAATTGAGAAACTTGTTTGGACTTACTCCTGCGGTTTTGTCATTAGAAATCTTGATAACAGGCAGTAGCTAGACCTACTTCTTGTTTATCCTGATAGGGAAAGGTTCAGAAATGCATTTAATTATATTAAATGAGATCTTATTCATTTCTGATTCCTCTTTAAGACCTGAAAAAAATATAGGTATTCATTAAACTCTGAGGCTGTTAATACTTATAGCAGTCTTACATATTTCATACTATTTATAAGAGCAATTGAAGAAAAGCAATTGGTTAGGACAGGAGGCTAAGAGATTTGCCTTTGACTTGAACTGTATTTGTCTACTGTCAAGTCAATATGCATGGACATAGCGCTAGCACTCCTTTATATGAATATAGTGTAATATTTATTACACAAATTTATAGACAGGCATAAAATTAGTATGATTTGCAGATTTACAAAAAATATGATTTTCCTCTGTAAATGGGGGTAAGAGTTGTTTGCTAGACATCATACTCTATACTATATACCTGGGAGTAATCTGTTTCTTTTGTTTGTTTGTTTTTTTATTTTTTATTTTTATTGTTTTACTTTACCTATGATCTGTGATGGGGAAGACATCATCAATATTGGTGGTAAAGAGGGAGAAATTAAGATTTTGGTTAAATTTTCAACTTGTTATATTTGAGTTACTGATTTAGAATTCCAAATGGAATTGTCAAGCATTTAGTTATATATCCAAATCTAATAAGAGATGACCAGGTTTTAGATAACCTAAAGTTAATGGGGTCTTATGAACATATAGTTGGTATGTAAGCTTATGAAAGAGGATCACAAAGGAGAAAATGCAGATAGAAATGCTAGTCAGACTACCCAATGATTTAGATGATGGGAAACTAAAGAGAAACTAGCAAATGGAGAATGATAATAAAAAATGGTTACTGTGATAAGAGTATCATCTACTAGGAGGTTGTGATATCCTTAAAGCCAAGTGAAGATTTTGTTTCGAGAAGGAATAGTAAGTCAAATACTAATAGAGGTAAGATGAGAACTGAGAACTGACTGTCGGAGTTCAGTACGTGGAGCTTTTTGATAACCTTGCCAAGAATATTGACTTATTTCTAGGAATAAAAGCCTGATTCAAGTGGAGTTTAGAAAGAAGAAAGGGAATGTTGAAGCCAGCAAGTACAGACAACTCTTTCTAGAAGGTTTCAGTAGAGAGTGTTTGTGAGAAACAGGAATCCATTTATTCACAATCCGATTTTACTCTTCAAATGGGAGTTAATAAGAGTAGTTTCCTGGAAATAATATTCCGTAATATTTTAAAATATACGTGGTGATAATACTCTCCAATGTTTTTGCTGTGGAATTCACTCATCTTTTATTATAGATTAAAATTATCTTTTTCTAAAACAAATATGACTCTTTTATATAAGTTTTATGTTAAGTGCATCATTCAAAGCCAGATAGACTATTGTCTCCAAAAATCACTAAGTTTTATAACTGCAGGCTAAGCATGTACATCTTGGAATAAATATACTTAACCTTTATATGCTTCATTTTCCTCATTTACAAAAAAACTGCTGACGAAATTACTTGCACAAAACTAGTTTGTAAATATCAGTTATTTGGCCTCCGTACAATCTTGCTAGAATTCCAGATGATACAAAAACATATTTTTTCTTCTGCTACTTTTTATTTCCAATGAATTCTGTAATGCTTATTTTGAAAGAAGAGTTTTCCATTAAAAACTTTTAAAAAACAATTACAAAATGGGGATTTCAATTTCTAAGTCAACTCTGCAATTGTAAAGGAGTGGGATTTGGAAATAAGCTTGACATTCAAACCTCATAGTATTAGTTCCATTGCTGCTTACTACAGGGATGTAATCCTCACAAAAATGCTATTTGATCTCAGGGAGGGGAAAAAAAGATAATGGATTGACCCTCCACACGAAACCGTAAAAGAGTGTTCTGGGTTGCTGCCATTCAAATGAATAGAAACCGGCAGCAATTCTAACACCTATCCAGTTTCAATTTTGTAACATCTGCAGGCATCATTCTGGAAATGGTAAACATTTTAATGGTCAGACCCTGTCCACTTATGCATTACTATTTCCAGTATTATCCCCCATTTCTATCTGGAAACAGAAACTAAAATGTGACAGATTGCTGTGAATGAAATGAATGAATGAAATGAATGGAGATGCCGCATCAGCAGCGGCAAACTCGCTCCTTTCCCATTCTTTTGTTGTCCTTCAGAGATCTCCCTTATTGCTTTGGAAAATTCAAGAGTCAGACACTACATTTTAATAATGTGGCTTGAACTCCAAGCATCAGCACATGAATTGATTTAAGAGCATCGAACAACTTTATAATTGCAGTCGATCTCTGCCTTTTAAATACAAATTCATTCTGATTGAATTAAGATTGAAGCTGCACCTTTTTTGTAAATTGAATTTTTATAAATATAAAAACTTTAAAGTGTCTAGTATACACCCATTGAAATTCAGAAACTAAACAACACATTACTTGCTTTATATAAATTTAAGATTCAATGAACTAAAACCCTTGCATTTTCCTTGAATCCCTTGTATTAAAAAAATACGTTCATTTCACTCATTTGGTAACCATACCTAGAAGTGTCATATTTGGAAGATGATTCAATGCGTGTGCTGAGTGCATGAATACAATAATGCAACCTGGGTGCACACGCACATATTCTGTTTTTGTAAAAGTCTAAGGAAAAGAAACATTTTTTACTACCTCTCTATGTACCCTCAAACATACACCGAATTGTATTCTGGGTTATATAGTACTAGGAAACTTGCTGAAACATATCATCTCACTTGGTTGATCAATTAAAGGTGAACCATTACTGCAAAACAAAGCCAAATGTGACACCACTTATATGTAAATTACAGTTCAAATTTTTCTCTGAAAGATATCCCTTTGCAATTTTAGAAAAAGACAATGTGCGAGAGATCTAAATCATATTAAGTATTATTTAAGGAAGATAAAACCTTATAATAGAGCTTTAATGGAGAATTTATTTATAGCCAAAATAAAGATATAAAATAATAATTTTAGTGATGTATTTTCTTTCATTTGCCTTTTATCTTCTAAGGAAAATACATATTTCCCATCAAAAACAAATGTATTAGAAGAAAACATTAGAAAATTAATAGCATCTGACATATTGGATCAGCTTGGCAATCTATATTTTGCAACTCTAAAGGCTTAAATAATAATTACATAACAGGCTTTATAGTATGATTGGTAAAGTTGCTAGCTGTAGTTGAATTTTCCTGTTTGTTTTTAAATATATTTTTGTATTAAAAGCATTAGTTATCCAGATACAAAGATGGAGGCGCATTTAACTTAAATGAGGAATACATGCCTCTATTGACTGGTTATCAGTATTTGCATTTTGAAGTTTTCCATTAAAGTAAACTTTAATAATATCAGAGAATACTCAGATTTGATCTTACTAATAATTTTAATTTAAGCAATTAACACAGTGAAAGTCAGAATGTTTTATTTTGCATGTGATAAACTTGCCCAAAATTCTGCTTTCCAACATAAATTCTGATGCACGAAAGATGTTTTACTTGTGAGAAGTTTTTTCCTTGGATTAATTTGAAGTTGTCATGGGTATTTTACTTGGATAGGAAAAGTTAGAAAATATACAGAAAAAAAAAAGAATCTTATTTCTCCAAAGAAACCTCTCATGAAGCCATAAATTGTTTATTTCTATTTATAGGCAACATTTTTCTTTTTATACAGCTGTGGGAATTAACAACCAACCAAGTCAGGGAAAGGAAAAACAACAGTAGCCTCTTTCGTGACACCTTTCAGTCATTTGAGTATTTAGATTGATTGGTGGAACTACAATAGTGTTATTTATTCAGTGTGTGCGTGGATAAAGCATGAGACAAGGCCATACATCCTGTCCTAAATAAATATATGGTAAGGCATCTATCATAGCTAAAAATAGTGTATCCCTTCAATTCCCATCTGATTTTAAGTTATATACAAAATAGCATATGTTTCATTCAACCCATGCTTTAACTTAGAATATGTCACCATATTACTATCCAGACTAGCTTTGTCTCATTTTATAGAATTAAAAATATTCCACTTCTCCAGAGCTGTTTGAATTCTTGTCCAATATGATTCAGTCCATACAAATCTAATTTCACTTGAAAAGTTTTATTGTTCCTGCAAATACTAAGTAATGCCATTCCTCTCATTTAAAAATAACCCTGAACTCTCCAGACCTCTATACATAAATTGACAAACACTATGTTAACTAAGTAGTTAAACAAAATAATTTCTATGCCAGTCAATAGTCTCCAAGAATACTGCGTGATTTCCTGCAAAATACATGATTTTACATAGGGAGTAAAATGACCTTCAAGATAAATAAAATGATATAATAATGTTATAAGTTTCTATCTTAACTGAGCTCATAAAAGTGCTATGAAACTAAAAACTGATTTATGGAGAAGAAATTTTTACCTTGTCTGACTATAAGAATCACCTAGGACATTAAAAAAAAATGTTGATGTTCCTGATACCCCAGCACAACTTAGTCAGAATCTCTGGATGTATAGCATGAGAATTATAATGTTTAAAAAGTTTCTCAGGTAATTCTAATGTCCAGTCAACTTTGGAAAACTCCGCCTCAAAGGAAGAGTAATGATTTTGATTTTCCACTCTGGGCATCACTTATATAAGAGGTTTGGTTCAACAGCCAATCATGGAACAACTCAATAAGTTAAACCACAGCCAATCACGGAAGAAGTCAATCAGCTAAACGTTTGCTGAAGTTTTAAGTGATCTATTTCTCATATTATAGAATATCCAAATAATTTAATGATATCAAAATGTAAACCAAATAATGATATCCATAAAAAGGCAAAAGGCAGAATTTGAACTTAATAAATGTTATTTTATATAATTTCTATATATATTTAAGTCTAAATATGTTTATAAGTACATGTAAAATGGTCTCTATTTTTCTACCTATATGGATGTATAATCCATCTATTTCTATATAGCTATATGATAGTGCATAGAGAATATATAAAATATTTTTGGAAACATTAAAATATTATATTTGTATTTCTACATTGTTTATTTCTACAATTACATGTGGAAGGTTCAGAATAACCCTTGAAAACTGCTCTCCATGTTTGACATTCCTCTAATGTGGGGCATTTGGCCAGGTGTGGGCCGATACTTAATTTCTTAAAGTTCCACAGCAAGATTAAAATATAAATCATGATTTATAATTAAATAAAATATAGGTTATTCCATATTTATATCCCTCAAAATCTCTTGGTATGTTTATTAGATAAGGTGTCACTGCACTAGTATAGCAGAGAAAGCCACAGACTTATGAAAATTAGGTTTTTCCCAAAATATTTTTTGCAGTGATGGGTAGTGTACTTGTTTTCTAAGGTTGCCAAAATATCACAGACTGGGTGGCTTAAAAAATAGAAATTTTCTTACAGTTTTGGATGCCAGAAGTTGAAGATCAAGGTGTCTGTAGATTTGGTTTCTTTCTTCTGAGGCCTCTCATCTCGTCTTGTAGATGGCCACCTTCTCACTGTCCTCACATGGTTCCCGTTTGTGCATTCTCTGTATCCTCACTTCCATTCCTTAAAAAGATGCCAATCATATTGATTAGGGCATATCCATATGACCTCACTTAAAATGTACTACCTCTTTAAAGATCACATCTTCAAATACTGTCACATTCTGATGTACTGGGTATTAGGATTTCAACTTGTGAATTTTGGGAGACAACTCAGACTGTAACAAGTAGATAAAGGAAAATAAATAATCAGATCTATTGTTCTTAACTATTCTGTTTCCATGACTAGCTTTAAGAAATATATTCCAATATCAAGAGAAGTAGTAATATAGTTCATCGATAACTGAAAAGCAGTGTGTGAATGTACATGGAGGGAGAAATCAATTAATTTTGTTAGATTCTCCAAAATGCAAACCTTGCCATTTGTTTGTCATCAGGTGCAATTTGTCTATGAGCTGCTTTTTAATCAATTTTTTCCACATAATACTGATGCCAGCTGAGTTTTTCTAGGATCACCTATAGCATTCATTTGCTTTGATTAAATGCTTTAGGTACAACTGTTTTCCACATTTGCCTAGATATTGTAGCTTCTTTAGTGACATTCAAAAATACACTAAAAGTTTTTGCTAATATTTAAAATAACTTTATGAATTCTGATTCTAGTTACCCTTCCAGTATCACCAATCAGAATCAAACAAACCGCTGGTCTCCTGAATGTGAATTTCTCTAGGCAGCCTCAAACTTCCCTGGAAGTTCTCAAGCTGGCCTTCTCAACAGAACTTTCTTTCTGAGCAAGCATCATCAGAGAGTGCTGATCTTCAAGAAGTACCTCCACTTGTTCCTTTCCTTTCCACCTGACCATTATCAGTTGAACAAAGGCAGTGACTCCTTGGCAGTCATCTAGGTGTTCTTTCTTGAGCAGCAAAGTTGGTGTAATCTAATAGCTTGTTAGATATTTGGAATCTCAGGTCCCATCCACCACCTACTACATACAGCAGAATCCTCATTTTGAAAGGACTCTAAGGTGACCCATATGCCATATAAGCTTGGAAAGCTCTGATCTTTGAGAAAATACGTTTCTCCGAAGCTCAGCACCTGTTTGAGGCATCTCTCCCAACTTGGTTGGTTAAACACCCTAGGTACCTGCCTAGTTATATTTGTGCTCACAGGCCAAAATATGGTGCCTCTTCCAAATTTCCAGTTCTCAAATATTTGTAAATATTTTCACGTCCCTTTAGTTATCCTTTTCTCAGGTCAGCTTCTTTAGTTCCTTCAACCATCTCTCATATAATGGGTTTCAGCTATCTTCAGACTTCAGCCATTTTCCTCAACATGATTTCAAATAAGTCAACATCTATGGCAAACTGCAAAATACCTACTGCACAATTATCTACACAAAAATATTTGTTATACAGAAGCAAATACTGAGAGGTAAATGTAAATGGGAGACAGGCATGACCAATTACACATTACCGGTGTGCTCTCATGTCTTAATAAAGTTGAGATATCAATTTGATTTTTAGCTTTTTTCCAAGAAGTGCTGCCCAACAAGATGCAGAATGATAAATGTTGACCTCTTAAAACCACTAAGGTATAAAGTGCAACAAAAATTGTTAATACAACTATGTGATTAAGTGTGTCTCTGTCAATGAATCACAGTGACAGGAGTATTCCAGAGTTTGCCTGCAGGAGTGAAAAATGAGGTCGTTAGTGAAAATCAAATGCAAATATCATCAGATTCTGGAACATTTCTCTTTACATATTAAAAAAAGATATCTCCAACTTACAGTGACGTACACACTTCAATTTAAAAATATATCTCTGTGGAATATAAAGTTTTTAAACAAAAATAGCCCAATATTTGGAATTCTGAAACTGATTTTGTTTAAACATTTGAAACATGCATGGTTATATCACAAAACAAGTGAAAACTATCCTAAAATTTAAAAATAATAGGTGTATTAATATTAAAATTTCCTGTTATGTATTTTCTATATATGTGGTTGATTTACTTCTAAGAGGCCAATAAAACTGAAATATTGCTGATTCTAAGGATGCCTCCATTTTTTAGAATGTTGACTTTTTATAAATGGAAAAGCTTTGGGTATTAAAAATATAATTTACATTTTAAAATATTTATCTAAGTTTTCTTTACATACAGACATACAAATCTTAAAAACAAAATAGGAAAAGTGTGTTGTTTGGTTTTAGAATATGCTTGGATTTCATCACTAGCGAAGTACAGAGAAAGGAAAATGTTGAACACATCTTATGGATAAAAATATGCAATGAATCAAAACTAGAAAGGTGGCTGTAGAAAGTTTTTTAGTGGGCTTTATTCTCTAATCAATTGTGAGTCATAAAAGCTTACTGAGAAGAAAATTATGTGATTCATGTTTTGAAAAGTTAACTTTGGAGGAGGAGATGAGAAAGCTTTTAAATAATTCAGTCAAGGAGACTTGTTAAAAGACTGCTGTAATAATCCAGAAGAAAACAATTTACTTTTCTTTATAGTTCCTGCTTATAAATTTTTCTAGATAGTGATTCAATTACTCTTTAAAGTCATGTTACGCTTATCCTGTTGCTTCTTTAGATGAATTCCTTAGCTAACTCATTGCCCCTGTTTTATTATGGTCAATATTAATTCATAGCCTGGTACCAAGCTCTCTACTGAAAGCCGTGATTTGTCAACCTGTAATTCCAGATTAAGTTTAATTTTCTTTAAAAATTATTGTGCTTTGATATAATTCTTACTCACTTACCCTGACTATCATGCTCCTGGTGCTTTCCCAATTGCCTGATAATTGAATATTTCAGTAAAAAGATTTACCTACAGTTACACAAAATTCATAAATACATAAGAATGATTTAGGGAAATAATTTAGAAAAATATTTGTATAGAATTAGTCTAATTAATGAAACTCAAATCAATTTTCAAAAGGAAAAAGTGAAGAAAACCATCTCATTCATTCATATGCTAAGAAAGAAAGAAAGAGAAAGAAAGAAAAATAGAAGTGTAAGAAGCAATAAAAAGAAATGTAACAGATCAGAGGAACAAAAAGATAATGATATAATCATTTGCTTCATGGAATTTAACAATTAGTGAGACAGAAAAATATGAAAATAGGTTACTTTTAAATTTAGTGACTATATCAATGGAAACTAATAGCCATAGGTAATTAATAGCAGTAATCAATAGAAAAAATTGGAAAGGAACTTAGCGAAGACTAAGGGATGAGAAAGTACATTATGGAAGATTTCTAAGGGTGGTAATGTGATGAGTCGCATGCACTGAAAAGAAATTTATGTCATGTATTTTCCAGTCTGATTCTTTCTGATACTCAAAAAAATGCAGGCTTGATTTATTGATTTGGGTAGGAGGTTGCATCCTTTCTCTTAAACTATCATCATAGGACTTTTCCTATGATGGGGCACTAATCAGGGGCCATTTTTAACCTATTTATATCATGAGCATACAGAGCATTGGCAAAGATTTAACAATGCTTCTTTCAAGTTTAAGTAAGCAGTTAGTATACTAAACTAAGTGGAGAATTTACCTAGCGAGGAATCTATCATTTAAATAATAATAATATATTGATTTTGTGACTTAAATTTTTTAGGGCACATTAAAATACTGTACCATTTTTGAGCTTCATTGCAGTCTTCTAAATTTTTTTTTCCTTTTTGTTTCACAGAGCTAAAACGATTTACCTACAGTTACACAAAATTCATAAATACATAAGAATTATTTAGGGAAATAATTTAGAAAAATCATTTTATCATTATTCTTCATCTATAAAATAGAGTAGATAGATAATTCCTCTCTAAGGATACTTCCAAGCCTAGAATACTATGATTAATATTTTAATATTTTCTTCACTTATATAATAATTCTAATATTACATTTACCTTATTAATTTGCTTAACAAACAGTTTTATTCATAGTTAATGAAATATCACTGTTTAATTTAGTTAAAACGTGTTTACTTAAAGGAAGTAATGAAAACTTGTCTATAAAATTCCAGGTAAAAACCAATGTACTGTATACATTAAAGTGTGAGTATTGCTCCTATTTGGAACAGGATGCAAGCTTAAGATCATTAAATTCAGCGAGCATCTTCTATTTGCCAAGTATTTTTATACATTGTTTTGTTGCAACAGCCTTTTTTGGTAGATAGAACCTATCTAACTTCTGGTATGTAGAAACAGAACATTTAATTAATCAATAATTTACCCAAGATAGATTGGTTTATAAACAGCATAGTTTGAATTTAAATATCTCTTTATTACAAGCTCATAATTTGAGACACTATTATGACTTCTCAATTCCGTGTGTTCAATTAGTAAGATTTGTTACTTCAGCTTGTTTTAAATATTCTTAACATTAAATATTAAATTATTTCCTTCTAGATATAACACCTAATGCTTTTTAAATTCTATGTTGACCCAAAGACATATATTTTATTCTATTCATTTTTGAACTCACACTTTTACAGTAGAAGAGATATGACATGGAAATTGATTATATTAAAGCTTAAGAGACAAATTTAGATGTTTTAAATAAAAAAGACCATTTACTATATACTTATAGAAATTTGAAGTCCATTAAAAAGTAAATAATAATTTAATTATATTCAGAAAGATGGTCTAACAATGTTACTACTTATATTTTCTGATATCCCTTATTTATAAAATACAGAAAAAGGTACATATGCACATGTACACATATATACTGACATACACAGCCCTAGTCTCATAATTGTGATAACATATTATGGCTCTGATAAAAATGTTCCATACTTCAATTAACTAAAATTATGTGACAAAGTCAAATTTAGACTAGTGTTACTTCTAATTTTGTGTTGTATTGAGTCATGTTTTAAGAAAATTGAAAAGCTTTTGCTCTTTTATTTATGTTTGACACTGGCAAAAGCCTCTTCTCAAATGTAATGAAAATGATAACCTAATAAAATTAAACAGAAAATTGAACCCTTGGGTCTGACATTACTTACACTTATCTCCAGCATAGCTGGCATCTGACCAATTCAAGAATAAAAATGAAGGACTGAAGAATCCACAACTGATATTTATGAGTATATTTAATAATTCCCTTCAAGAGCATATAAACTTAGGCATTAGACAAATTTGTGCTTTGTTTCTTGAATCTTGATTTTTACAGGTTATGATCTTAATTATGATTTCCATGTGTGAATTTTGATGTTCATTGACTCTTCCTTGGTTTCAGAGGTTTCTGGGTCTCCTCAGTTCTCTAGTGCAAAATATATAACCTAGACCCTGATTTTTTTCTTGATTTGGAGATGGTGTTCTCACTCTGTATCTATAAAAACAGACCATTTTGACATGACCAGTTTTGTACAAATATAAAGACAGTAAGGAGGACATTTTTATATAGGTATTTATATACAACATTTTAATTGCCTAATAATGTGTTCAGAAGAAATCCTTGACTGACTTCCAACCCATTTCTGAACTTTACCCCATGGACATTTTCTTATTTAAAAAGTATCAAGTTTGATAAATAAACATTCATGCCAGGTGAACAGTTCAACATATTGAGGTGTACCAAAATCAAAAAACTTTATGTAACCCTAAACAATTATTTTTAAAAGATGTATATTAGTTGATTTGTAAGGTTTGTAATGCTTTTCATATGGAAATATCAAGGTAGAAAAGCAAGATGCAAAAAAGTATGTATCATAAGATTTTCTTTAAACACAAATTACAATATTCATATATGTATACTTGTGTATATGCAGAATGTACATCTTTATGTATACATAAATATATACATATTTTTAAAATGTGCTTTTTTCTATTAAAACATTTGGTGGCTTTTAGAGAATAATTACAGTTGAGCCTAAATTGGAGGCTTTGAATATCAAGTAAAAGCAATATTTAGAAGTATAAATGAAAGAAAAATTAAAGATAGGCTAATTGTGGAAGAAAAAAATGAGAGAAATGACAGATGAATCCAGGTGATACAATATGAAATAAGAAGAAGTGAAATAAATAAATAGAAGGGAGATACTAATTATTCTGATGAAAGAAAAATAATGTCCCTATGGATATTATTCTGGGTAGTATTTATAAGAGAACAATGCAAACTTTGAAAAATTCAAGAAATAAAGGAAAATTCTAAAGACTCCCACTGATAAAAAAATTAATAAAAAAATTAGGTTTCTTTTCACCAATACTGGAAGAAATAATACATTGATCACAAGGAGAATCTTGATATAAATTTTAAATCAAAGATTTTATTATCCAAATTTCTAGATCATTTTTTTTTTTTGAGACATCGTCTTGCTCTGTCACTCAGGCTGGCAATGGCATGGTCTCAGCTCACTGCAACCTCTGCCTTCCAGGTTCAAGCAATTCTCCTGTCTCAGCCTCCCAAGTAGCTGGGACTGCAGGCGTGTGCCACCCAGAAACTCTTGATGGTTTGGAAATTATAGAACAAATTCTGCAAACAATATTTATAGCTACTGAACAAAAAACTGCTTTGCAGAGCCCTGTACCTAACAATGCAATTATGTCATTCATTTGACAAGGTGAAATAAGTTAATGCATATGCAAAGAAACATATCACTTGCTTTTCTACCTGAGGAAAATACTTGACAAAGGATTGTAAAAAATGCAACTAAATAACCAGAAAAGAGCCTCAAGAAAGAGAGCATACAGAGGGAAAAATCAATGGTGGGCAATAAAGTAAGCATATACATAATTAAGTTAAATGAATAAAGAAAGTATACTATAATTACTGAATAACTCTTGGAAAAGAAAATGTTTGCTATACAGGAAATGGTAGTAATTACTGTCAATTAAAACTGCCATTTTAACTAAGAAAAATTTAGGATACTTTGATAGTGTAGGGTTTATTAAAAAGAAGTAAGATTATTCTAAAGGATTTTCAGAATTTTAGATGTAAAAAGAAGTTGGAAGCAGAGTATGAAAAATATTTTTTTCTTAGAAAATAGGATAAATATATGCAGGGAAAAATAAGAGAAAGTAACCATTAATAAAATAGAAAAGTACAATAAAATCCCCCAACTAATAACAGAATAAAAAGTGTATCTTTCTCTCTGTCTTGTGTGTGTGTGTGTGTGTGTGTGTGTGTGTGTGTGTGTGTGTGTGTATTCATTGGGGGATTAAAAGATTGGTTCTAGGACCTTCTGTGGATACCAAAATTCATGGATGCCCAAGTCCCTGATATAAAATTGCATAATATTTGAATATAACCTATGCTCAACCTCCTGTATATGTTAAATCATCTCTAGATTACTTATAATGCAGAATATAATGTAAATGCTATGTAAATAGTTGTTATACTGCATTGTTTAGGGAATCATGACAAGAAAAACAGTCTGTACATATTCAGTTCGAATACAATTTTATTTTTCTGATCCACAGTTGGTTGAACCCACAAATGAGGAACTCAAGGCTATATATGTATACAAATACGTATGTGTATATATGTATACACACACGTGCACAGACACACACTTGCCTTAGTCCATTTGTGCTGCTACTACAAAATATCTGAGATTGGGTTATTTTTAAAGAACAAAAATTTATTTCTCATAGTTTTGAAAGTCGAAGATCAAGGTGCCAGTAGTTTCAGTTATCTGGTAAGGGTCCATCCTCTGCTTCCAAAAAGGTGCCTTGAATACTGCATCCTCCACAGGGGAGAAATACTGTGTCTTCACAAGGCAGAAGGGGGAAAGGCAAAAGGGGCAAACTCCCTTCACTAAGTCTTCTTATAAGGGCATCTAATTTAATTCATTAGAGCAGAGCTCTGATGACTTGATCATTTCCCAAAGCTACAGTTCCCAAATTATTGCATTGGGGATTTTATTTCAACATTTTTCAAATGAATTTTGGAGAGGAAAAAAACATTCAAACGATAACAATATATAGACATAGATGCAAATATAGATATAGATGATATAGCTAGATATAGATAGATACACACACACATGTGTATGTAACTGTGACATATTAAGTGTTATCCAGAGAAACACACACACAAGCACATACACACATATAGACTTCTATTTGTTCTGTGTCTCTAGAGAACCAGGACTATTGCATTGACCACACAGAAAATCTTGATATGATATAAATTTTAAATCAAAGTGTGGAAGGGATCCAGGGGGAGGTAACTGAATCATGGGGGCCAGTCTTTCTCGTGCTATTCTCGTGATCGTTAATAAGTCTCATGAGATCCGATGGGTTTATCAGGTGTTTCTACTTTTGGTTCTCTCTCTTCTCTTGTCTGCCACCATGTGAGTCATGCTTTTCACCTTCCACCACGATTGTGAGGCCTCCCCAGCCATGTGGAACTGTAAGTCCAATAAACCTCCCTCTTTTGTAAATTGCCCAGTCTCTGGTGTGTCTTTGTCAGCAGCGTGAAAACAGACTAAGGCACAAAGATTTTATTACCCAAATTTTTATAGAATTTTGATAATTAGGAAAAGGTAACCAGAAAATCTTGATGGTTTGAGAATTATGAAACAAGGAAGATTAAAATCAAATATGAAATATCAAACTATACAAGAAGTAATAAAATTGTTATTCTATATAAAATAATGACATAGTAAAATCTGTACTCAGAAGAAAAAATACACATTGCAATATAGTCATTAGTGAAGAAGAAAGAATAAAATAGTTTAACAACAGGTCACATTATTTAGAAAACTACAAAGTAACCAAGTGAGATTAGGCTAAAAATATTATAAAGATAAAAGCTAAAATAAATGAAATGAATGAAGTAGCTATGCAAAGTATGCATACATTCAAACTCTGATTTCTGGAAAATACTAGTTAAAAATTGGTTTGCATTTCATCACATAATAGCTTCACCTTCTTTGTAAGAGTAATATATTTTACGGATGATTTTATCGTTGTCTCTTTTTTCACTTCTGTACTCCATATGTCAATATACTCTAGTAAGTTCTCTCTGATTTTAGATTATATACAACAATCTATTGACCAATTTGAAGTTATCTACTCAACTTATAATAATCCTTTCTCTTTAAGAGAGTTGTTACTGCAAAAAACAACTGGATCCATTCGGGTAATTACTATGCTCCACGTAACTATCTATCTATCTATCTATCTATCTATCTATCTATCTATCTATCTATATATCTATCTATATATCATCTATCTATCTACATCTATACATATATGCACACTAATGTATATATAATGGTTAACATATATGTATATGTATGTGCATGTATATATATGTGTGTGTGTACATATATTTGTAGGTGATTTTACTATTCTATGCTTTCTAGAATAGTATTAGAATAGTCTACTATTTTGCTATAGTATAAATCACACAAATAAGCTCAGGGAGGTTCTTTAGGAGATGTTCCAGAAGAAGGCATTGTCATAGGAGATGATAGCTCAATGCGTGTTACTGCTTCTGAAGACCTTCCCTTGGGACAAGCCATGGAGGTAGAAGACAGTGATATTGATGAACCTGACTCTGTGTAGGTCTAGGCTAATGTGTGTGTGTTTTAGTTTTTAACAAAAAAGTTTAAAAACAAAAACAAATTGAAAAATTTAAAAATGGAAAAAAATTTATAGAATAAGGATATAAAGAAAGAAATATTTTCATACATCTGTACAGTCTGATTGTGTTTTAAGCTAAGTGTTATTACAAAAGAGTCAAAAAGTTCAAAATGTTTAAGAGTTTAGAAAGTAAAAAAGTTACAGTCAGCTAACGTTAAAGTTAAATGTAGATTAAATGTGCAATGTTTATAAGGTCTATAATAGGGTACAATAATGTCCTAGACCCTCACATTCACTCACCACTCACTCACTGACTCACCAGAGAAACTTTCCATCCTGCAAGCTCCATTCGTGGTAAGTGACGTATACAGGTATACCATTATTTTTTCTTTTATATCATATTTTTACTCCACCTTTTCCATGTAACACAAACACCATTGTGTTATAACTGCCTACAGTATTTAGTACAATAACATTCTGTACAGGTTTTTAACCTAGAAACAATAGCTGTATTATAGCTTAGATGTGTAGTAGGCTATACCATCTGGTTTGTGTAAGTACACTCTATGATGTTTTCACAAGGATGAAATTGCCTAAAGTTGCATTTCTCACAACCTATCCCCACTGTTAAGAAACACATGATTGTACTGCCATACCAGATATAGTAAACATTTTTGAAAATTAGAGAAATAGAGGTAACTAATTCAGTTACAGGGGTTAAAAAAGACTACTGAGCTGATGCTTGAACTGTGTGGTTGAACGTAAGTAGCATTTAATCAGTGCAAAATGTAGGAGAAAGTCACGCTAGACAGCAGAAACCTGTATAAAGGCCCAGAGGAATGAGAGAGAAGGTCATTTTCAAGCATCTATAAATAATCAAAAGTGTAGAGAGAAGAGGGTGGCATAATGGAAAAAGGAATGTAAATAAGGCAACAAATTATACTCAACCTTTTGCTGTGTGTAATAGGAAGTCACAAATATTTAAATCTGGGTGTTATGATAAATTTTAAATTCAGCGGAACACTTTGGAAATACTTTGGAGGACAGGCAATGGGCAAGAAGCAAGTGGAAAGATAAGTGGAAGCTATTTGAAACTTCTGCTTGAAACGGGGTGAATAGTTCAGCTAAGCAGGGGGAAATGGTAATAGGAACAAGAGGGTGGATTTTGGAGTTCACCAGGAGCAGACCTCCACAAGCACAAGTTGGAGTCACTTTCAGAGACTCTCTTCACATCTGTCACACAGGTAAAAAAATGTGAAATGTGAAACATCTTAATGGTTCATTTTCAAGGCATGATAAATATAAATACTGGCAGTCAGCCTGCAGATGTAACAAACCTCATGGCTCATGCACCTAGAAGGTTACAATAAGCAAACAGAATGTAGAGGAGGGGTCAGCCCATAAAAGGGAAGAAAGTTTTGTTTTTGGGAAATCAAAACTTAAGTGGGGAAGGAGATGGGGTATAACCTTATAAGGGAGATGGTGAAACTTAGGTGACATCTGGCAAGATTGTACCTCCGTAATACTCAACCAATGAGGAACTGGGGGAAGGACTTCCATCTTAGGAGATAAATTACCTGCTGTAACTGCCCTGGGTGTGCCTGCCTACCAGACACTTGATCTTGCAAGACCACCATTAAAAGTCTCACTTCTCTTGTTCTTCGTGTCTCCAAGTCTATTCGTTGGGTTTGGACGGGTGAATGTGTCTTTCTCACAAAACCTATTCAAACTTTTATGTGAAGGCAAACTAGTTAATATGTGTCAGAGCACGTTAAAAAATTTAAAACTATAAATATCTTTGGTATTGATCTTATTAAAGTTACACCAATTAAAGTTAGAGTCATTAAAATGAATTATCATCTCTGCCTTTTATAGTACAAATAATATCCATCCTTTTGTTATCAAAGAATTGTAGTCAATTTATTTCAAACATTTTAGATAGAAGACAGTTGCCTTATACCAGAAATTGAACATTCTTTTTGATCACTCCAATTAGAGCTCCTTTCCATTATATTGGGAATGCACCACTGTGTACTCTGCTTCAACATTTCTCATTTCTGCCATCTTGCTTACATCTCCTTGCTTTCTCCACTTTCCTTTTGTATTTACTCAGCTCCTCTTTCCTTTCTTTCCCAAAGAACATGTTTTCAAAGAGATAACACAGACTATGAATAGGGATTAATACAATTCCTCAGAAATCAAAATGTATTTATTCATTGTTTACTTCACACTTAGACAATAGGCGAGGCACTGTCTATGGTCCTAGTGATCAAATAGTGATGAGGCAAACTTGGCCTCTGTCCTCATTAAGCTTATAGTCTACTATGAAAGGTAGTCAATTAAATAAGTGATGACTTGCCTGAGTGTATGTGTGTACAAGTAGAGAGAGGGGGAGAATGAGGGGAAGAAAAGGAGATAAGAAAGAATTTGAGAGGTCTTTGAATTTCTATGGAATTATAGAATAGGAACCTAATATACAGCTAGTTGTGTCAACCTTCACAGAGGAAATTATGTTTAGAAGGAGATCTAGAATAAGAGAAAAATTTATTCAGGTACCAGTGAGAGTCAGGGGGATGAAAATTTCTCCAGGATAAGGAAATAACTTTCTTGAATATCTTCATGCAGAAGAGAAAATAACTGTTTCCAAGAATAAAGAAGTACAATTTGGCTGGAAAACAGAGTGAAGACAGAAATAGTGAGGGTTTCGCTGCTGGATGTCAAAATTAGTATGGTGATACTACATGAAGAATACTGCCTGAAGAATAATATAGTGCTACCAAGATATGTTTTAAAGCAAAACTCCACCTTAAGAAAAAACATCTGAATCAGAATAATATTTTCAATTATTATCACATCTGCGAATCTAGGGAGTATTAAACTGATTGGAAGAGGAAGGAGAAAAATGGTGTTTTTATAGAATTAAGTAAATATTATTTGTATAAAAGAATATATTTGATTAGATAAAAAAGATAATGTACTGACTGAAAACTAAAATTTTAAATGCTTGCATAGTAAAAGGAACATACTGTACTTGAAAAATAAATGTATAATTGCAGCATAAGTGGATTATCTGCTCATATAGAGAGGGTCCCACTTTCAGAAATAAAGACAGAAAGAACAATTAATAGGCAGAAGCTGCATCAGGGACTGCAAAGTAGAAGCACATCATTTCCACATGGCATGACCTCCATTATCTGCAGACCTGTTATTCACTCCCAGTCAGGAAGTTAACTGGTAGTGTTCAAAGAAGTTTACAATTATAAGTCCAAGTGGAAGAGTCACATTACATGTAAGTAAATTGCCCATCAGCTTACAATGGCAGAAACTCTTCAAGAAATGATGCAAAGGGCAAAGGAAAAGTGACTAAAAGCCCACTGACCAACAATGTTATAAGACATAGTAACTATTTTAAGTTATAGCTCTTTGATGTTTTTCAAGTACTCAAAAACTTATTAGAAAATCCACAAACCCCTTTGTTCAGAACTAAAGCCATCGGAATCACTAAAATCCTTTCTAGTGTAGGAGAAAATACTTAACCTAATGACCAACTGAAATTTAAGTTTATGTGGACCTATCTATCTTAGTTACTTACTTATTTCTATCTATGCTCCTAATATGGCTATTTTTGTTTTACTCAAACTACTGTTTGGTGTGAATCAATGTTAGGCAAGAACAGAATAATATTACATTATTAACAATGAAAATTAAATATAATAACAATATTAAGATGTATAAATTTATGTTCCAATTAAGAAATATATATCTTACATTTATGTTTAAAGCACCCAACCAGATCTCAATAAAATTTCAATAGTTTTCCAGTTCTTTATTCATCCAGTAGTTCCTTCATTTGATATAAACTTATTTGGCAATCAAAATCCTAACATAAGAATAAAATAATTAAATGTATGCATCTACAATAAGATCTTTGTATGTTTTACAGTTTTGCCCTGTTACTATAATTATATTCTATGATATTTAGGTTATATTTCTATGTTACTCTAGGTTTGTTCTTTCTTTCTTCTTCTATTTTTCTGTCTCTTTTTTTCTTTTTTCTATCCTTTCTTTCTTCTATATTCTTTTCGTTCAGCAATAACGTCTAAAAGAATGTAGCTATTTGCATTTTCAAACTATAGCCATGACAGTATCTCCCATTCCATATTTTCATCTTAAAATGTAATCCTGACACTTCTACCATGGTGAGAGGGGTCCTATGTTCTCCCTGTTGTGTCTGAGCAGGCTGCTGACCATGGAGGAAGTAATTCCTAAAGCAAGCTAACAGAGAAAAAGTAATTCTCTGTCTTACTTTCTGGAACATTCACTTTTAGAGCTCTGAATCTAAGTACCTCAAGGAAGTCAAAACTGCACAGTTACGCATGAGGAGAGACCACATGAGAAAGCCCTGATAACTACATGGAATGATAAAAATATCCAGGCAGCCACCATCTTCTCCAATTTTCTAGAGTTCCAGCTGTAGCAGCCATCTATCTGCAACCATTTGAGAGATCCTGAGCCAGAACTGCTCAGACAAGCTCTTTTTTATTTCCTGACCATAGAAACCGTGACAGTTAATAAAATTATTGTTGGTTTGAACTATTAAAATTGGGATGATTCATTACACAGCAATAAAGAAGCAGAGAAAACACTGAGTTGATGTCAGTGTTCATAGATGCTAAGGTCACAAGCATGAATGGTTTCTCTCAGTGTTTTTACAGCCTAGTTTGAAGAAAAAAATCAATATATATTAAAAAATGGCAATATAATGCAAAGAGTACAACAACAAAGTTAGCCCATCATGCTGTGGGATTCCCAAATAATTGTAGGGAGAGGCAATGCGCCCTGAGGATCCCTGCACATTCTTGCTGCATATGCCAGGAATACATTTTCTGGGGTTGGGTTTATAGCCAACAATGATCTGGGATGAAGTAATAACTCCTCTCAAAATAAAAGCAGCTTTGCTTTTACTTCCCATAAAACATGCTAAGCTCAGCATTTTTCTCCTGTAATCCAGCCCATTACAGGTGCAGGCAATCATCTAGCCCAATCTGTGTTCCCCTACTGGGACTTAGGGGACCTAAGGATAATGGTGTCAACAACATGAGGACCATGCTGCTTTCTCTGCCATGAGTAATAAACTCCTTTGCCCCTGACTCAGTAGTGTCCTACCTTTGCCAGTACCCATGAGAGAGTGACAGTCTGGCCTGTTATTCATAAGTAGGTTAAAATGCCAGACCTTACAGAGTTCCTGTAAAGGATGTCTCAACTTTCCTTGGAAAGTCATGGAACAATTCAGCAAATGATGGTTCAATTGAAAATCATGGTTCAATTCACAGTTGAATGTTACAGCTTTTCAGGTCTATGTGGAATAGCACACTCCATTTTCATGGTTACATAGGCTGCCTTTTGATTAATGAGAAATTAAAGCTAGCCAATATAAAATGTAATTTTATAAATGATATTTTATGATAATGGAAGATTATGATTGGAGTGATTGACAGTCTAAGGCAACACTTAGATTGACAAATATTTAAAGATTAATTTTTATCCTGTTTGATTGACAAATATTTAAAGATTAATTTTTATCCTGTTTGACCAAGAATTTCAAACAAATAGGTAAAAAAAAAATCAATTTTCCCTTATTGCTGATATTTTATATTTTAATTAATACAGCTGGATTTTATTTGTTGGCATTAGATTTCAGAGAGATTTCTCTTTTTTTCTTTACTTGCTTAAATTCTACCTTCCATTTCAAAAGTATATTCCCTAGTTTGCTTCAGTAGAATAGCATGTTCTCAATTAGTAATTGACATTTACCATCTGCTTTTAAAGAAATGTAGCTGTCTCTTGTGTGTTGTAATATGATTCATCAACTTAAACACAGACTGAGGCAAAATGGTTAAAGGAAATTTTATAAAGCAAATTATTGGCATCTCAAAACAGTATAACAGTGTCTTGTTTTATAGCATGATTTTTTTTCTAAAATAGTTTAAATTCCTCACAATTAAGGTACTACATATAAATGCAATATTTGTTATCAATCATGAGTCTTAATATTATTAATCACTGTGACACTATGTTTTATGCTTGAATTCTCAAGTATATGCTTATGAAATTTGATATATCATGTTTCTTAAACAAGTATTATCGCATAACCACATGCAAGATGTTAATGTAAAAGTCTTAAAGCAAGAGGAGAACCATGAAATTTTATAGTACCAATCTCTCTTTTACAAATTAAAAACAAGCGACAGTGACTGGTCTCTCCCAGTATCACACAGCAAGTTAAAGGAAGATCTACATTTAAAACATGTTTTCTGACTACAAACTGATATAATTTTAAATGCTTTTTAAAGAGAAGTAGATATGATCTTCTTGCTCTTGCACATACCTTATACATTGGCCTCATATAATTATTTCTGATTATTTCATTTTTTTCAAAATAATAGTTGCCTTGAGGGTGTGGGGGGAAATAATGTGAGAAGGAAGACAGAATAATGTTTTATTTTTTATAAAATATTTAACTGGAGCATATAAAGTAAGTTATTAACCACAATATTATGCCAGTGTATTTTTTATGTAACCTATTTATATTAAAATGTAAAGAAGAAAAGTACACAAATCTTACATTTACAAGTCAATACATCTTACCCTGCAAACACACCTGGTAGGTGTCACCCAAATCAATGTTCAAACATCACCAAGTACCCAGAAACAACCTATGTGCCCTCTCATTATGTTCTCCAAAATATATTCTCTCCTCTGACTTCTGTCTCCAGAGATTAATTATACTCTTTATATTTTTAAGAAACATTACTTAAATGATGTCATATGAAGTGTCCTCTTTTATGTTTTGTTTCTTTCTTTTAACATTATGTTTGGGAGATATGCCCATCTAGTTCTTGTAGCAGTATTTTGTAAATGTTCATTGCTGCACTCTGAGTGAATAGATCACATTTTTAATCCATTTTAACCTTGAAGGACATTTAATTCATTCTAACATTGATAGCAATCATTTGAATTTGGAGTGTTTTATATACTGCTCTGGACATTCTTTCACATATTTTCTGGTACATATATACATTTATGCACTTCTGTTGACATTGATCTTGGAGTGGAATTTCTGGGTCACAGGATACACATAAACTATCAGTTAATACTGACAGTTTTAGAAACTAGTATAGTAATTTGTACTCTGATTAGCATTATGTGAAGGGTCCCCTAGCTCCAAGCCCTAACCAGCACTTGGTATTGCATTTTTGTTCTTTGGTTTTTTTTTTTTTTTCCTTTTAGCCATTCTAATGAACTAGAGTGATTTTTTACCATGGTTTTAATTTAAAATTATCTTCCACATATAGGCTATTATTGATAATTAATTTAATATTGTGTGTATTTAATACTTCCAAAAATATTATTGCTAATATAAATTTTTAATATTCATTTATATTTAATAATTTATTTATATATTATAATGTTCTTCATTCCTTCTTCTTGTATGTCCTTCCAAGATCCCCTTATTTATGCCTTAAACAATTGTTTCATGAAGGGCCGCTGGAGAAAATTTTTTTAGTTTTTGTTTGAAACGTCTTTATTATAACATCATTTTTGAAGAATGATTTTACCAGGTATATACTTCTATGTTCCTTCAAGATTTTAAACATGCTATTACATAATCTTTTGTCATTCTTATTATAAAGTCAGCTATCAGTCTAATATTTACTTCTTTGAAAATCATGTGTCTTTTAATTTCATTTAGGACACTGAATATTTCTCTTTATGTTTGCTTTTTGTTGTTTACTATATGTGTTTAGGGTTTGTGTGTGGGCAAGTGTGTGTTGTGTATTTATTCTTTTTGGCATCGGTAGCAGCTTGATGCATTTTTAAATCTTTTTAAATATATATTTTTTAAATTGTTTTTCTCCTCTCTCCTCTGTGGAGCTATTTACATTTATTCTGAGCTTTTTCACATTTCTAAATGTGTCTCATATTCTTTTTAGTGCTTTATTTTCATTCATTTTTGTCTATGTGTTTTTAATTCTGTAAATTTTCTACAATTCTACTTTCTATTTCTTAACTTTCTATCCCACTAACATAATATGCTGTTAACCCATATGGTGAGTTCTTAATTTCAACTATAATTCAATGATTTTTAGAATTCTCAATTCTTTATGATCTTTATAAATATTATCTCATAAAAGTCTTAACTTTGTAATCTCTTTAAAAAATATATAAATTATAATTATTTTGTAACTCTGATAACTAATATCAGGATTACCTGTGGGTCTGTTTATATTATCTTTTTTTATTATTTACTTTTAAATTTTCAGTTTATGTCTTCCTTCGAGTTTTGTAACATTTTATTGAATGTTGAACATTTTTATGATAAGTTATAGCGATTCTGAATGATGTTACCTTTCTCCAGAAGAGATACAATTTTTAATAGAAATTTTGTCTTAAGTTAGAGTAGGGACAGATCATATTGATCCAAACAGATTGAGATGGTTCGGAGCTAAATTTAAAGTTTATAAATACTACTTTATTAGAAGCTATCAATTTCCCCAGAATATAGCTTCCCATAGGTCTCAATTAAATACCTGAGATGTTTTCACTATCCACTCTCCAAGGTAAGCCTTATTCTCCTTTTTGTTTGTTTCCCACAATTCAATGATCCTGTTGAAATCTTTGCTTAACCCTTTAAACTGCTTTTTTTCAACTTCCAGCTCCTGCACAAGTTAGAATTCAACAATTTCCTGAGGACTAACGCCATGCTGAATATCAGTGTTCTTTGTGGTTACCTTTTCTATAGGATGGTGATCCTTTACTATTATTGCATCCTTGTACTCCAATATTTGTTTCAAAAGCTTATTTATTTCTGTTTAGGATCAAAGCACTGTGTAGCAAATCAACAAATATCCCATGAAGAAAAATGAAAGACAAGTTCGCCATGATGTGTTTTCTTTAATTGTTGAATCTTGGCTTCCATACCCTGTCTTAGTTACCCGAAAGTAACTTCAAACTTATAATTTTTATTTTTTTATATTTTAATCAAATTTCATAGTAATTCTCAAGCAATATGTTTGGATTGACACAACTACACTACCATATCCAGAAGTAAAAATCATATTCACTTGTGTTTGGTCAACAAAGTCAACTGTCATTTTTTATTATTTCTTGGTGTGGTTAAGATTAATTCAGAAACAGCAAATGTAATTACACTATCAAATCAGCGTTCATTTCAGTTTTCTTATTCCATTATACTAAAATGATTTTCTTTTGCACATATGACTGTATTGCCTCACAGAATATCTGCCATCATGTACCATGATTTTATCACTTAATATTTTCTCATAAGCATTTTTTTAAGTAACTTAAAAATTATTTTACAGACTTAAAATTGTGCAATATGCTTATTAATCATTATTTAAAGCAATTTTAAAATATTAAATTGTATTGTGTTTAACAATAACAATGAGCATCTTAGAGACTTCTCTATCTCACTTTTATAGTTTTGTACACTACAGTCTTAGAAATATGAAAATTAGATCAAAAGAAGTAAGCATTTTAAACATTTTCTACATAATACCAAATGCATTCAAAATGTTGAAAAGCAATTTCTAGTTCCATCATCAGCAAATATTTCATAATTTTAAAACAAACTTGATAGCATTAGTTGCTATCATTAAAAGGGAACTCAATTTAAAATATTATCTAAAGTCTCTCTAATTTGCTTCTCTTTGATTATTAATACAAATAAAAGTATTTCTACATATTTGCTTACAATTTTTACATTTCCTTTTTATTAATTGTTTATATGCTTCTTCTACTTATGTATTGATGATTTTATTGTCTTCTTATAGTTTAAGGTGTTTTGTTTACATCACATATTTATATATACATATATTAACTATTTGTCATAATTTTCCAAATATTTACTCAGATAGTGACTAAAATTTCTCAGTGCTTTTGCAATTAGGAATACAGACAATTCTCATCATTTACAGTAGTTACATTCTATAAAGCTGTCACATACACTAAATTAAACTATACAAAGCATTGCTCCTAGAGGAAATACAGGGTTAGGTACCTGTGAGCCTCTAGTCACGTCATTTGTATCAATATAGACTTGTTTTATGTGTGTCTTTTAAAGGCACCTTATTTAATATATATTGCTGATTTACTAACATTAAAGTTCATGGCCCACAGCACTATCACTCATGCCTGAATTAAGGTTATTCAACACACATGTTTTCTCCATAATGTACCTATTAGCCTTCTTGTGTTTAGAAGCACTAGACAGCATCTCAGAACTATGCTTAGAGACAATTTTAAACAGAAAAATTACCAATAAGAAGCACACAAATGAGAAAAAATGTGGCAATAAGTAGATTACCAAGTAGATTATAGCCTGAGAGGTGAAACAATAACTCAGGGCATCACCTTATTTAACCTCAGCCAGAAAGGTGCCTGTCAGGTGACTCAAGTGTTTGGTGCAGTGCACATGTCTGCAAACAACTGTGAAAGTGCCATGAGCATCGATTTAGTGGTTACAAAGAAATTTTACCTAGTATGCAAATTTACAAATATTGAATCCATGAATAATCAGAATAGACTGTAGACTATACAGGAATTCCTGTTATATGTTTAAATACAAAAAGCCACAAGGCAAATACAGAGCGAGAGAGAGAAATCTTAATATCTTGGGACTTGTGAAGAAAGTCTGACCAACATTTTAAATCATTATGATAATTTTAATTTTTAAAAAATGCCTAAGAGAAAGGCATAGAAGAAATATCAGATGTGAGCGTATTTAGTATTTGGTAGTTCTTAAAAAAAAAAAGAAACTGTCAAAACAGGTGTAAATGATCTCCAGCCAAAGACTACCAGATGCAGAGCTGCAATTGAAAAAAAAGTTGGGTATACTGGTTATTGCATTGAGGGAGAACACACACTAATGGGAATTTTGTGATGTCTCAGAAAGAAGTGTTCAAAAGTACTTACAAGGTTTGACCTTATGTTAGGTGATTTTTAGAGAGAGTTCAAAGTGATGCTTTCTTCTGGATTGAACGCAATCAGAAATCAGGGGTAATTCTATGGTTGACCATCTTAGTAAATATTAACTAAATCATGGGAAGAGTATGGTGAGGTTATACCTGTAATAAGTACTGTGAAAGCTAATCATGCAAATTGGGTTTTTTGTCATACCCAACTAAAACAGAGTCAAGAGGCCAAGGGACAAAGCACTCAGGGTACATAAGACCTCCTTGAATGCAATTCTCTGCAAGCCTGGCTGCTAAAACTGCCTGCTATACTTGGAAGTCAGTTTTATCTAATAACTACTAAAACAACCTGCTGCTACTCTAAAACTAGTTTTACCCACCACCCTCACTTACCAATTGGAGCTTGCTGGGTCCCCAAAAGTTTACTAGTACCAATTAAATTTCTTATAAACAATATATAACACTTCTCTTTTCATAAAACCTCTAACCTTCTCTTTGTTCTTCAGGTACATGGAAGATCACCCTGTCTGTGTGCATACTCCAAATTGCAATTCTTGTTTTTCAAATACAATGTGTTAAATTTACATTTCTTTCTATATTTTGACTTCAGTGGTACACAGCAGTAGGCATTCTTCCAGGAAAAGGAGATGTTTGGTTATATTTATGGTTTAAACAATTTTCTTTCCCTTATCTAAGTTCAGTCATAATGATAAAGTAGCCTTACTTTTGTCTTGATCTATCAAATTCACAGGGTGGCCTGGTGCAATTATGGCATTTTTTACAAAATTCATATATTCAACAGGAGAGTACAAAGAACAAAGACCTAGCTGTGAGCACCAAGCCATCTCTTAGCAACACCATGCCTCATGGGTAATAATGTCAGGCAGGTACTGATAGTGAAGGGCTGTTTTTTCTTCTTTCTCAAGGGTACAAAGCATTAAAGGCATTCCCAATAACTGGTACTGTGTCATCTCTAGTATAATACTATAATATATTATTGAAGACCACACCGGTAATCTGATCTGTGCATATAGGGGATGGTAGTAGAAAGACTAAAGGACACAACCTGTATTAACCTTAAAGTTTTAAAATACATTCCTGAGCAAGAAATAGAGTTTTGAGAAAAATATTGCAAAATCATAAACTGTTTACAGAGTCCGTTGTCTACATTAAATTGAGAATACTTTTTGAAAAGAAAAAACACACCCTGATGGAAAAAAACCAAGAGCTCTATATTGAACCTGGGTACTCCTTTTCCTTTTATTTAGTCACTTGCCTGCTTTTACTTCTGTACATATTTCCGTCAAATATCAACATCCTCCTCTTTTTTTTTTATTATTATACTTTAAGTTTTAGGGTACATGTGCACAAAGTGCAGGTTAGTTACATATGTATACATGTGCCATGCTGTTGTGTTGCACCCATTAACTCGTCATTTCAACATCCTCCTCTTAAAAGGGCAGTCTGAATTCTTCTGTATGGAAGTTTATATTCAAAATTCTTGGATGTACATTTTGCTATAAACTGTTGCCTGGTTTAAGAAGCTACGTATGGATACTGCAGTTTATGGTGAAAATTAAATAAATTAAAAGATCATTATTACATGAAACAATAAACAAAGAATCATGCTGACATATATCAGTGGCCAAAATATGTTTATTAAAATTCAAATATTAATGTTATTTTAAAATGTGAATATGTATCTGTCATTGTAATAGTCATATCCAAAAATGTGTCTTTAAAATGTGCATTAGTAAAAAACAAAGTCTTGGATAATGATCTCCAAAAAGTAAGAAAATCACAGAGTTTAAAATTAAAAGCTAAATTGATAAAGACATTCATTTGATGCTTTAAAAAAACTGTTGAATTGTGATGTTTATTCACACACACACACATATACATTCACACACAGAGCTATTAACTCTTAGAAGTGCACATTGGGTTAAACACACATACTCTAGAACTGCAGGGTGTGGTGCCTTGGGGAATAGTAGGTAACTTTCAGGTCAGTAGGATTTGATGACATTTGAGTAGACTTCTGAATATTGAAAATATTTGATATTTGTAGGACTTATATTCTTTAATAAGTAAATTGATAACATTACCATTTTATTTCCTATGCACTCAAATACAGGAGAGTGTGGGAGAGAGAGAGAGAATGCATCATATGACAGTCCTGTATTTCCTGGCTCATATCATTTGCCTACTTACAAACATCACAGCTGAATTAGATGTGCCCCTGGGGACATGTGAGAATTCAACTTGAACTAACATATCTATCCCCACTGTCAAACTACTGGGCTTCAGTGATTAAGTCTCAACTTCCAGACCTGCAAAGACTGTAGAGACTATTTCTTAGTCTCAGCTGGTAGAATCAACATCCTCACTTATCAGAGTCCTTTTGAATATGCCTTTTGAATATGACTTATCAGAGTCTCCAGATTATGTATCTGGATCTTTATCTGGCACTAAATTCTTGACTTCTTCAAAGGTTGGTGTTACTTCCCATGCTTATTAAAGAGACCCTGTGGGATACTTCGTTATCAGAGGCATTTAGATGTATTTTACTGAATTTCTGGTCACATCAGTCACATTTCCCTTTAGTCTTTTTTTTTGGTTTTTATTTTTTCCTCTATCCTATAAAACTTCCAAATTGTAATTTTTTATTTTCCTTAAAAAATGTAGAGGCAGCTCCCACTTGGATGGACAGAGCAGTGTGAAGAGGCCCACATTGTGAACTTTTATTCCAAGAACTATCACAGAAACATACGAGGAAAGCCCAGAGAAACAGACTCTTTGGAGGAGGTAGATTTCCACTGCAGGCTCTGTGGGACAGCTAAGGAACTGTGAGTGGGACTGCTTTCTAAGATGGGAGGCTTGTAGCCTGGGGCAAGTTCTCAGCCCTGCTCACTGGCTGTATGAAAATAAAATCTATGCTGTTGTTGGGGGCATGGTGGGTGTGAGACTGGCCTTTCTGGCTGAGAGCCGTATGGGCGCAGGGTGAGGTCTGTGGCTGCCGGCTTTCCCTGACTTTCCTGGTGACCTGTCTGACACAGAAGAGACAGCCATAATCCCCCTGGGAACATAACTCTATTCCCTGGGAACCACACCCCTATCCCACCCACACAGCAGCAGCAGCAAGCCCCACTCAAGGAGAGTCAGCTCAGACAGTCCTAACCCTGCCCCCACCTGAGGGTCTTTCTCTACCTGCCCTGGTAGCCAAAGACAAAGGACATAATCTCTTGGAAGCTCAATGGCCCCGCCCCCCACCTGACCCTAGGGCAAGCTTGTATCTTCCCTATACAACGGCAGCTGATGCCCTCTTCAAAGCTCCAACTCCTGGCTAGAGGACTACCAACACAAAACCAGTGTACTAAACAAAAAATCAATGAGGACCCTCACAGAGTCCACTTCACTCCACTGCTACCTCCACCAGAGTAGGTGCTGGTATCATGAATGAGAGACCTGAAGACGGCTCACATCACAGGACTCTTTGCAGACACTCCCCATTACCAGTTCAGAACCCAGTGGCTCTGCTGGGTGGCCAGATCCAGAAGAGAAGTAACAATCACATCAGTATGGCTCTCAGGAAGCCCCATCCCTAGGGAAAAAGGTAGAGGACTGCATTTAAAGAGCACCCGTGGGACAAAAGATTCTGAACAGCAGTCCTTGAGTCCCGGATCTTCCCTCTGACATAGTCTACCCAAATGAGAAAGAACCAGAAAAACGATTCTGGTAATATGATAAAACAAGGTTCTTTAATACCCCCAAAAGATCACACTAGCTCATCAGCTATTGATCCAAACCAAGATGAAATCTCTGAATTGCCAGAAAAAGAATTCAGAAGGTCTATTATTAAGCTAATCAAGGAGGCACCAGAGAAAGGTAAAGTCCAACTTAAAGAAATAAAAAAAGAAGAATTGATACAGGATATGAATGAAAAAATCTCCAATGAAATAAATAGCATGAATAAAAAACAATCACAACTTCTGGAAATCAAGGACACACTTAGAGAAATGCAAAATACACTGGAAAGTTTCAACAATAGAATCAAACAAGTAGAAGAAAGAACTTCAGAGCTCAGAGGTAAAGCTTTTGAATGAACCCAATTTGACGAAGACAAAGAAAAAAGAATTTTAAAAAATGAACAAAGCCTACAAGAAATTTGGGATTATGTTAAACGACCAAACCTAAGAATAATTGGTGCTCCCAAGGAAGAAAATGTATCTAAAAGTTTGGAAAACATATTTGAGGGAATAATTGTGGAAGCCTTCCCTGGCCTTGCTAGAGATCTAGATATTCAAATTAAAAAGAAGCTCAAATAACACATTGGAAATTCATGGCAAAAAGATCATTGCCTAGGCACATAGGCGTCAGGTTATCTGAAGTCAAGACAAAGGAAAGAATATTAAGAGCTGTGAGTCGAAAGCATCAGGTAACCTATAAAGGAAAATCAACTGCAGATTTCTCAGCAGAAACCCTACAGACTAGAAGAGACTGGGGTCCTATCTTTAGCCTCTTTAAACAAAACAATTATCAGCCAAAAATTTTGTATCCAGCAAAACTAAGCTTTGTAGATGAAGGAAAGATAACAGTCTTTTTTCAGACAAAAAAATGCTGAGGGAATTCAGCACTATCAAGCCAGCACTACCAGAACTGCTAAAAGAAGCTCTAAATCTTGAAACAAATCCTCAAAATACAACAAACTAGAATCTTCTTAAAGCATAAATCTCATAGGATCTACAAAAAATAAAAATAAAGAAATAACACAATGAAAAAAGATACAAGGTATTCAGGCAACAAATAACATGAGGAATAGAATAGTATCTCACATCTCAATACCATTGTTGAACGTAAATGGCCTAAATGCTTCACTTAAAAGATGTAGAATGGCAGAATGGATAAGAACTCACCAAACCAAGCATCTACTGTCTTCAAGTGACTCACCTGACACATAAGGACTCATATAAACTTAAGGTAAAGGGGTGGGAAAAAATATTCCACGCAAAGGGGCACCTAAACAGGCATGATTAGCTATTCTTATATCAGACAAAACAAACTTTAATGCAACAGAAGTTAAAAAGGACAAAACGGACATTATATAATGATAAAAGGACTAGTCCAACAGGAAAATATCACAATCCTAAATATATATGCACCTAACACTGGAGCTCCCAAACGTATAAAACAATTACTACTATACCTAAGAAATGAGATAAACAGCAACATAATAATAGTGGGGGACTTTAATACTCCACTGACAGCTCTGGACAGGTCATCAAGACAGAAAGTCAACAAAGAAAGAATAGACTTAGACTATACCCTAGAACAAATGGATTTCACAGATATTTACAGAACATTCTACCCAACAGCTGCAGAATATACATTCTATTCATCAGCACACAGAACGTTCTCCAAGATAGACCATATAATAGGCCACAAAACAGTCTCAACAAATTTATGAAAGTCAAAATTATATCAAGTACTCTCTCAGACCACAGTGGAATAAAATTGGACATGAACTACAAAACGACACCCCCAAACCATTCAAATACATGGAAATAAAATAACTTGCTTCTGAATGATCATTGGGTCAACAATGAAATCGAGATGGAAATTTAAAAATTTAAATTTAAATTTAAGTTTAATTAAATTTAAATTTTTAAATTTAAACTGAATGATAATTATAATTAAACTGAATGATAATAGTGACAAAACCTATCAAAACCTCTGGGATACAGCAAAAGTGGTGCTAAGAGGAAAGTTCATAGGATTAAATGCCTACATCAAAAACTTTGAGGCTGGATGCAGTGGCTCACACCTGTAATCTCAGCACTTTGGGAGGCCAAGGCGGGGGAAATCACGAGGTCAGGAGTTTGAGACCAGCCTGACCAACATGGTGAAACTTCGTCTCTACTAAAAATACAATTAGCCAGGCGTGGTGGTGTGCACCTGTAATCCTAGCTAGTCAGGAGGCTGAGGCAGGAGAATCGCTTGAACCCAGAAGGTGGAGGTTGCAGTGAGGCAAGATCACACCATTGCACTCCAGCCTGGGTGACAGAGCGAGACTCTGTTTAAAAAAAAAAAAAAAAAACAACTTTGAAAGAGGACAAATAGTTAATCTAAGGTCACACATCAAGAAACTAGAGAAACAAAAACAAACAAAACCAAAACCTAGCAGAAGAAAAGAAATAACCAGGATCAGAGCAGAACTAAATGAAATTAAAACAAATAAAAGATAAATGAAACAAAAACCTGATTCTTTGAAAAATTAATTAAAATTGATAGATCATTCATGAGATTAACCAAAAAAAGAAGAATGAAGATCCAAATAAGCTCAATTAAAATAAAATGGGAGACACTACAACTGATTCCACAGAAATACAAAAGATCATTCAAGGCTATTATGAATGCCTTTATGCAGATAAACTAGCAAACATACAGAAGAGGGACAAATTCCTGGAAATATATCACCCTCCTAGTTTAAACCAGGAAGAAATAGAAACTCTGAGCAGACAAATAACAAGTGCAAGATTGAAATGGTAATTAAAAATTTGCCAAGTAAAAAAAAAGGCCAGGCCCAGAGAGATTCATAGCTGAATTCTATCAGATATTCAAATAATTGGTACCAATCCTATTGACACTATTACAAAACATAGAGAAATAAAGAATCCTTCCTAAATCATTCTATGAAGTATCACCCTAATACCAAAACCAGAAAAGGACATAAAAAAAACTATAGGCCAATATCCCTTATGAACATAGATGCAAAAATTCTCAACCAAATACTAGCTAACTGAATCCAACAGCATATCAAAAAGAATATCCAACAGCATATCAAAAAGATAATCCACCATGATCCAGTGGGTTTCATACCAGAAATGCAGGGACGGTTTAACATACAAAAGTAAATAAATGTGACACACCACATAAATAGAATTAAAAACAAAAATCACACGAGCATCTCAATAGATACAGAAAAAGAATTTCACAAAATACATCATCCCTTTATGATTAAAACTCACAGCAAAATCAACATAGAAGGGACATACCTTAAGGTAATAAAAGCTATCTATGACAAACCCACAGCCAACATTATGTAGAATAGGGAAAAGTTGAAAGCATCCCCCCTGAGAACTGGCACAAGACAAGGATGCAAACTTCCACCACTTGCATTCAGAACAGTACTGGAAGTCTTAACCAGGGCAATCAGACAGGAAAAATAAAAGTAAAGGGCATCCAAATCAATGAAGAGGAAGTCAACCTGTTGCTGTTTGCTGATGACATGATCATATACCTAGGAAATCCTGAAGACTCATCCAAAAATCTCCTAGATATAGTAAGTGAGTTCAGCAGAGCTTCAGGAAACAAAATTAATGTACCCAAATTAGTAGCCCTACTATAAAGCAACAGCAACCAAGCTGAGAATCAAATGAAGAACTCGATCCCTTTTACAATACCTGCAAAAAAATTAAAATAAAATACTTAGGAATATACTTAACCAAGGAGGTGAAAGACCTCTACAGGGACAACTACAAAACACTGCTGAGAGAAATAACAGCACAAACAAATGAAACACATTCCATGCTCATGGATGGGTAGAATCAATATTGTGAAAATGACAATATTGCCAAAAGCAATCTATAAATTTGATGCAATTTGCATCAAAATACCACCATCATTCTTCACAGCGCTAGAAAAAACTATCCTAAAATTCCTGTGAAACCAAAAAAAAAAAAAAAAAAAAAAAAAAAAAGCCTCCATAGCCAAAGCAAGACTAAGAAAAAAGAACAATTCTGGAGGCATTATATTACTCAACTTCACACTTTACTGTAAGGTTATAGTCACCAAAACAGCATAATACTGTTGTACAAATAGGCACATATAACAATGGAACAGATTAAGGAAACCAGAAATAAACTCAAATACCTACAGCTAACTCATCTTCAACAAAGCAAACAAAAACAAATTGGGGAATGGACATTCTGTTCATCAAATGGTGCTGGGATAATTGGCAAGCCACATGTAGAAGAAAGAAATTGTGTCCTAATCTCTCACCTTGTACAAAAATAAGCTCAAGATAAATTAAGGACTTAAACATAAGATCTGAACCCATAAAAATTCTAGAAGATAATATCAGAAAAAACCCTTCTAGACATTGGCATAGGCAATGACTTTATGACCAAGAACCCAAAAGCAAATTAAACAGAAACAAAAATAAATAGATGGAATAAATTAACCTCAAAAGATTCTACACAACAAAAGAAACAATCAACAGAGTAAACAGACAACCCACAGTGGGAGAAAATCTTTGCGGTCTGGATATCCAACAAAAGATTAATATCCAGAATCTACAAGGAACTCAAACAAATGAGCAAGAACAAAACAAACAATCTCATCAAAAAGTGAGCTAAAGGCATGAATAGAAAATTTTCAAAAGAAGATGAACAAATGGCAAATAAACATATGAAAAAATGCTCAACATCACCAATGAGCAGAGAAATGCACCCAAAACCATAATGCAATACCACCTCACACTGGCAAGAATGGCAATAATAAGAGAATAAAAAAAAATCGATGTTGGACTAGATGTGGTAAAAAGAGAACAGTTTAACCCTACTGGTGGGAATGTAAACTAGTACAACCACTATGGAAAAGTGCGTAAATTCTTTAAAGAATTAAAAGTAGATCTACCAGTTGATCCAGCAATCCCACTACTGGTTATTTACCCAGAGGAACATAAGTCATTATACCAAAAAGATATGTGCACACACATATTTATAGCAGCACTATTTGCAATTGCAAAAGTATAGAACCAGCCCAAATGCCCATCAATCAATAAGTGGTTAAAGAAAATGGTATATATATGAGATATATATATTATATTTTATATAAATGTATTAAAATATTATATATTATATATTGCATATTATATATAAATTATACATTATATAAACATTATGTAGAATGTATAAATATTATATATTATGTATATAATTAATATATATGATATATACTATATGATAGTATATACTATATATAATATATTTCATACATTATATATATTATTTTGTATATATAATTTATCACATATTATATAATTATATATTACATATAATTATATATTATATAATATATCATATTACATATAATTATATATTATATAATATATCATATTACATATATGATTATATGTAAAGTGTAATTATATATGTATACAATGTCTAATATTGTATATTAGATATTTAATATTACATAATATTATATAAATAATATACTAAATTATTTATTATATATAATTGATATATTAATTATATACAAATACATAATTATATATTTAATTTTATATAATATATAACCATATCTTATATATAATTGTTATATAATTATACATAATATATAATAATAAATATTATATATTATTATATGGTATATTATATGTATATATTAAATATATAATATATAATAAGATATCATATATTTTATATATACACTGTGGAGTACTACTCAGCCATAAAAATGAATGAAATAATGGCATTTGCAGCAACTTGAATGGAATTGCAGACTGTTATTTTAAGCAAAGTACCTCAAGAATGGAAACCCAATCATCAACGTCGTATGTTCTCACTCATAAGTAGGAGCTAAGCTATGAGGACGCAATGGCATAAGAATGATACAATGGACTTTGGGGTCTCTGCGGAAAGGGTGGAAGGGGTGTAAGGGACAAAAGACTATACACTGGGTACAGGGATGGGTGCGCCAAAATCTCAGAAATGACCACTAAAGAACTTATTCATGTAATGAAACACCACATATTCCCCAAAACCTATTGAAATTATTTTTTTTTAAATTAGAATTTCTTTGACTGGGACTAGGTCATTGATAATATGAGTATCTGAATGTAAATTTTAGTTGTGCTTTTTATTAAGGTTGTCAAACTGATTTTTTAAAAATAGTGTTTGCTTAACCATGTAAAAGAGATGCTATTCTCAATTTTTAACTTAAATATTACATTGAAAGAAAAAAAACTATTTTGCCTATTTAAGCCATTACACATACTCATTGATAAATAAATTTCAACAATATAAAAGTATTGGAAACTTAAATATAGAATTTAGATGATAATTTAATAGTTTTTTCATACATTAGAATAAAAGAGAGTTACTTAATATTCCTTCCCTTGAATCATCTGATTTTAAGTTCTAACTATCCAGGTAACAATATGAGTTTAAAATTCATTCTTAGCTGTTGAAGCCTACAGTTTAGTGCTAGCTTTGCAATAAAAGCTACTTTAAATTTTAGTCTGATTTCCAAACAGTAAAACAAATGTATCCTAATATAATGACTAGTTGCATATATTTATCTGTTATGTAAGAACTTAGATTAAAAAAGTGGATGATTTCAGTAATAAAATGGCTGTATTTAAAAACCAATATAACAGACATCAGATAGTTTTAGATGTGTTCAGATCTAATAAGGACTTTTTACTAAACAAAGCAAAGTAATTTTTTTAAAGGAAATACACTCTTAAATAAAATCTTAAGTCAATTTGTGGCATATCATGTTTAGATAACTAAAACAGAGAATGTTAGTTAAAGTTTAAGTGAGCTGTAAATTTATACAATACAATCTATTTCATCTTCATTATTATAATCTAGTCAGCCAAAATAGCAATTTTATATATAAATAAATAAATGTAATATATAATATATATTTTAGATGTAAAACTTATTTAATATATTATGTATTTAAACATATCAAATAAAATATATAATACAAATATGGTATACTTTATCTACATATATGAAAACAAACAGAAAGTGGTTCTTTCTTGTGTCTTCAATTTCCTGCTGGAAACTGGATTGAGAGTGAGCTGAATAAATTTACTGAGAACCCAGTATAACAGAGTGGGAGTAAATTCAAGGGCAGAACTTGGAATTTCAAGTGTGGGAACCAGAAATCAATAGAAGAAAGATCTGTGTGTTAAATTTAATACTCTAAACAGTTATTGAAGCAAAGAACACCATCCAGAAAGCAACGAGAACTAGCGAATTAATACATATACTAAACAATAAAATGTTTGCAAAAAGGGAATTTGCCCTACTGAACCTCAATAGATTAGGCTAATCATTGATAAGACACGCTAATTAATAAAGAAGAAATACATTCCCTTGATGTAGAAAATACATTACATTAGAAAAACAAGCTGCTCTGCTACCGTTTATGATTTTTTTCTGTTCATGATTTTAAGGGGTAAGTGAGCAAGTTTTCTGGTATTTTCTGATTTTGCTCTACCATCTGCTTCTTAAATGCAGCAATGACCTAGGTCTCTGTTCTCAAATACTCAAATTGTCCTTTGCTGGTACTTTCTGAAACAGTCTTTACCCCCTTTCTTCCATTTTCACTTCCTGTCAAATGTTTATCAAATCTGCATCTCACATCTTGAACTTCATGTTCCCAAATGCCTGATAAGCATCTCCATTAAAGTATATTAAAGACAACTCAATCTTACATATCCTCCACTAATTTTTGAAAAAAATTTGGATGTTCTTAAAATAAAACACAGCCGGTATGGTGGCTCATGACCGTAATCCCGGCACTTGGGAGGCCTAGGCGGGCAGATCACCTGAGGTCGGGAGTTTGAGACCAGCCTGACCAACATGGAGAAACTCCGTCTCTACTGAAAATACAAAAAATTAGCTGGGCATGGTGGCACATGCCTATAATCCCAGATACTCGGGAGGCTGAGACAGGAGAATTCCTTGAACCAGGGAGGTAGAGGTTGTAGTGGGCGGAGATAGCACCATTGCACTCCAGCCTGGGCAACAAGAGCAAAACTCTGTCTCAAAAATAAATAAATAAATAAAATAAAACACAGCAGAAAAGTACAATACCCATTTCCCTATCACTCGATTGAATCACAACAAGTACTGTGGTATGGTTTTTACCACTTTTTTATTTTTAAGCATAACTCCTCAATTATTTTTTATAAAAATAGCATCTTTCCATTATAAATATTTGAAGCATTTCAAAAAGTATGAGGATAAAAGGGAAATATCAGATCGAATCCCATGACCCAAATCAGGAACACTGAGTATCATTGCAGAGAAATAGTATAGATTCAAACCTTACCACTAGTTCTTTAACACAACCACAGCTTTACCAAATTCAATATTTAATTAATCTTTTATCTGAATAGATGTAGTGGTTAAGTAGACAATCTCCCATCCCACCCAGAAGAGCACAGAGGTGCTGTATTTATTGAGCTTGTTCATGTTGAGCCAGTCATTCAGTCTATTTTATTCCTGCAAGGCCCATATACTGGTTATAAACTTTTCAAGGTATTTTCTCCTTCAGACATTGTAGACTTTGTCACATTGTCTTCTGACATTCCTTCTGTTAGTCTGCTTTGTTTTGTTTTGTTTTTAAAGAGATTTGAAAGAACTATGATAATTTTTACCCATGGAGCAATTTGTTTTCCTTCCTGGATTGCCAAATATTTTTTTTCTTTCTCCAATCTCAATTTTGTTAGAGTTTTTAACAATTTAACTTCCTTTACATTTGTTAAATTTCTCAGTTTTATTATATTCTTTAGGATTCTTTTTAGATATTTATGTGCAGTTTTTCTTCATTTTAAGAAAATTCTATTGTTCACTTTGGACATCTGCATTCTAGAAATATATTACAATATTCCTTTATTTGTTTAAATGTTTTGTTTTTAAATGTATTTGCAGCGACTATGATCATCTCAAGCCTTTCCACTGTGACAGTGATTAGATTTTTAGTGGCTTATCTTCTCTTTATTTTTCTTTCTAATTTTAAAGTTCAAATTGTCTGACACTGAAATTTGCTCTGACTATGTAAGAATTCTTGTCATCCTTCCCACTGAGGACAGTTTATTTTCTCCTCTGAGCTATAGTTAGTTTGAGGCTAAGTATCCCTTAGAACGGATGATGAGAGGAGGTGAAAATTCTTAGTTGTGTTGATAACGCTGTGGTCTATTTTAGAACAAATGGGCTATGCTTTTTCTTCTGATAGTTGTAAAAATATCTGTACTGGAGTTCATTCTCATAAATGTCAAGAGCAAGGGAGGAAGACCAATTTTTATGTGATCTCAATTATTTACCCAGTTTAAGAATAGCCCTGAAGGATTTACCTTGTTCAGGAAAAAACAAAAATTTCCTTCATTTGTTTTCCCCAGTATACAGACATATTTGCATAAGTTCTTTCCACTAATTCTTAACAAAAAATGAAAAAGCAAATGATATGTTTCTCTCCAGATTTAGAAATAATATTAATAAGAATCTGGGATACTGTAAACTCAATTCTATATTACCAAGGAGTAGAGAAGTATACTTCTCCTTTACTCAAGGATCTTCTACAATGAAATCCAATGTTTACAAGTATAAGAGATTAGAATATTCTCCTTTTTAAAATTATCACTTGAGTTGCTTTATTTCATTTGATCTTACCATGTTTAGCTTATTTCACTGGATTTCAGGAAGGTCAAATACCGAGACTAGTTTCAAACGGCATTCTTAACCTGAATTTCCAATCAGCTTTCTATTTATGCTGATCTGAAGATATCACAGTTTTTCTAGTCACAAAAATTCAAAACCCTGGAGTTCTTTTTTATTCCTTATTCTTGCTCCTCTAAAAATCCAATCAGCCATCAAAGTACATCAATTCTAAGCCGAGAAAACCTTGATGGCTCTTGATATTTTTTGTCTCTGAACTGTATGTTCGTAGTTCCATCCTACATTCTTTCTATAATGGACTATTATGCAAACCTCTTAACTAGAATTCCAACCCTGTCCTTCTAAAATAATGAAGAAATAAGCCTTTACTGATACCCATTATACAAAATTTATCTTCTCTAATTATAAAATATTATAAAATATATGGCTTTTGTGTTATTAAGTACATTTCCCAAATTACTCACTTAACAAGGGACAGAACTGGGATTTGAGCCCATATGTGAGAAATTCCATTACTGTACCCATTCCACTACTCTAAGTATTTTTCCATTTATTTATATGATATCTAAGCCAGTATATGCATGGTGGATGCTTCCATTTTCAAAGAGTTAAGATTTAAAATGTTTTATGAAAATCTACATCTAAAACAGCATTAAAGTCTGCATCTTTAAAAAAAATCAGCTTTTAAAATTAGATACCTGAATTAAAAAATAATGTTGCCCTATCTACTTTCTGACTTATTACCAAAACCTAGTAAAAATATTTTGTACTAGAATATTAATGAGAATAACTACACTTACTCATTACACATTTATTAATGTTAAGAACCCTGATCAATTGGGAAGAAAAATAAAATGAAAGGAAATTATCCCTTTTCTTACAACTCAGTTATTCTCATTGGAAGTCAAATTATTGGGATATCTAAGTGTCATTTGCAAAAAAAGAAAAACTTTCTGTCTTTTTTCTCTCAATCAGTAACTCTAGTGATTACTTAATAATTTTATGCATGAAAAAGGAGGACTATTTTTAATTACTGTTCATTTTAGTATAGGTGAAGCATTTTGGGACTTTTTCACCTAATATTTTCTTTTTATATAAATGCTTTTTCAGTGGTAGGGGATCTAGAATTCACTGCTTTAGAGTTGTATGTATTTTCCAGTGGCCAAATGATACTCAATTTTATTATGCATTCTAATTTTAATTTTTTTTGAAATTATAAAGCTACATTTAAACCCATACATGTGTAAGTAATGTGTTCTATAACCTATTATGTATATTCAATAATATGTGTCCTTTAAAATAAATAATAAAGTCCTCTTGCCCTTTGAAGAGCTGTAACTCTTTTTCAAGGAAGATATTATGATAAATTTCTGAATCAGCTTTGTGCTCATACTACAACTAACTTTGCTGCAGACATTGGATTTTCAATATCAAATCTCTATTGTCTAAATATTCAAACTGACTAATATCAGCTAGTGAAAGAAAATAAGAAAATAGGTTTCACTAAGCACCTAATGTATGGCAAACTATATGTCAAGCCTATTTCATTTACAATATCATTAAATCCTAAAAAAGTCCTGTAGAGAAATACTTCATACAAAGAAAGCAAGTGACTCAACACAAAGGCTCACAAATACACTCTTCTTAGAATATGTTTTATCAATTCAACTAAAATGTGCTAACTGTCCAATATTTAGTTAGCTTTGAAAATATGAATTTTAAACCTACTTACTTTAGATCCCTAACCTTGAAGTGATATGTATTCAATCTCAGATCAACTGAGCTAGATAATGATTGGTTCATGATAATAGAATTTCCAAGCAGCCACTTTCTGGTAGGCAGGAGAAATCAAGTAAATATGTACTGATTCGTGACATGAAGCAATGAAGCATTGTTGCTGACTGCTAGAAACTGACAACAATCAATCAAAGTGACATGTAGCAATTAGAAACAAGGTAGCTGTAATTGAACAAATGTGTCAACCAGCTTATAAGTGAAAAGGTAGTCACAAACAGCTACAAGACCTAAAACACTGGACCTATTCATTAATCAAAGGGCAGATTTCATAACTATACTCTGTAATAATGCTTCCAAATAAGGTCTATTTTAGTTTTCAAGTGTCATCTAAGTAAAACAAAATAGATACATGTACAGTCATAGATAATTAAGGTGCAAAAGTATGTTTTACAAGAAATGTTCTATTGGCTTAACATTCATTCTTTTATTTTTTTACTTTTTTTTTTGGAGAGACAACACTTTGCTATGCCCAGGCTGGTCTCAAACTCCTGGCCTCAAGTGATCCTTCCACCTAGGCCCAAACAAAATTGCTATGGTGTGAAAAGTTTCAAATAATTTTATCTAGCATTTTTGCAACATGGAATATTTGATCTCTTGAGAATGAAGGATGTTTCCCATAAAATAGTGCATTTTCAGTCATAGTAGCAGGACAACCAGAAATTGTTTATGGTGATGCATTTAAACAGGAAGCATACAAAATAATACATTTTTCATTGTATTAATTTTGTTATTTGGTTCATAAGGGAGTTTAAAATGAAATAGATAATTTTAGTAGCAAAAGCTTCTGTAAGCTATTTTGGTACTTTTTCTGAAGTGCTATTCAGACCCCTGTGGTCAAAGAATATAAAGTTTTAGTTACGTAGAATAAATAAACTGAAATATCTAACCTAAAGCATGAAGACCATAGCTAACAGTATTGGATGGTATTCTAGAAATTTACTATGAGAATAGATTTTAAGTACCTTTTCCACACACACACAAAGTAACTATATAAGATGATGGATATGGTAATTTGCTTGACTTTGGTAATTATTTCATTATATATACATATATCAAAACATCATGATGTATACCTTAAATATATGCAATAAAAGTAAATTAAAAAATAACTTGGGAGACTGAAGTCCAAGGTGACATTCTAATATTTGTATAATAAAGAATTGTTTTTTAAATGAATTTCTCATCAAATATTTATACAATTTTATATGACATGCCTTCATAACCATTTATACATTTAAAATAGGATGGTGTGTAGCACACGATGATGGCTGTCAGCCATACTGGCTTTACTGTTTTTATTACTGTAATGTATAATAAGGTAGGGTGGAATTAATGTTAGTAAAATGTTGCTTAATTAGTTGTCTCACATAAGAGTAGATAAATGTAGGGATTTTTAATCAAATTGAATATTTTCAAACCCTGATCTACGTTTATACATAATTTATAGGAGATACAATATGTATATGCTCCTATTTGTAAAGATATGTAGGAGTTTTGACTAGTTTGATTATGTTGAGCATAGTTTTGGACAATGGAATGCACTTGCAAGGTGACTGGATGGTAGTAGTGGATATGTGACCATTGATTGTTGGAAATAAAATAAGTCCTTAGGGAAAAAAAATGTAGATTAAACTAGAACATGACCCAGATTTCCTAAATCTTCTTAGGGCTCATTCTGCTTCAGTGTATAATACTTGATTCTATCATAAGTATTTGAAAATTTGCAGTAAAACAAATATGTATAGATTTGAAATTAGGATGTGCAAATTTTATTCATGAGGAAGAAAACTAGAATAAAATTATTTACTTCATTTTTCATACAACCAGAGAATGAGCTAATGGAAAACTACATTGTACAATCAGTACAAAATAACCCTTAGAATGATATGCTTTTCCTGAAAATAGGCAATTATGAAACTACTACAACTGTAGATAGTCCAAGTCATGCAGTTCCAAAAGAACCAGTACCACCACCCCTGTGGACAGAGGATGCAAACTACTCCCTGTGGCTTTTCTGAAATGTATCTGGTAGAAAAGAGAGAACTGGTAAGCAAAATTTATTCCCAGTAATAAAGCTACCAAACAGTGAAAGCACAAACTTGGATAAAAATGAAAAAAAAAAGTATGCTTCCTTTCATCACCTTGATGAGCTATAGTTTTCAAAGATGAGAAAAAGAAAGTAAATAGATCTCTTTCTATATATATGTAAAATACATATAACTATATATTATATTATAACTATTATATGTAATTATAATATTTTAATGTCTGGTGAATTTAGAGGTGAGTAATCTGTATGTTTCAGGCAATTAATGTCTTGTTATTGTTAAAGTTTTACAGGCTTCCTAATCAATGTTTAGATCTTAAAGCTATTAAGCCTTATTCATTCATATTATCTTCCTTTTCCAAAATTCACTGCACAAATCCTTAATTTTCACTTTTATCTTTTCTATATTTTCATATATTTATAAATGTCAGCCACTGGGGTGATGGAGAGATTGAGAGCCTTTCCTTTAAATCACATAGAGGCCATGTCAAAAGGTCATCAAGGATGGAAAATGCAGGCACATTCTGAAACATTGAGCACTGTACTGCTAACTAGGTCTGATAGACACATAAAAAAATCTCATAAATGCAAATAGCATTCCAGAACAAAAGATTGTCACTTCTTTCTTTGAAAAATAACTGTCTGGCTTATCTGTCTTTCCTCACACTGACGACTGCCTTCGTAAAAGCAAAAGATACACAATATGGATTGAAAGGTGTATTTCATGTTTATGCAGAGGAAAAAAAGTGAATTTCTAATAAATGAATAGTGAGATGTAAATGAGAAAAAAATGCCTATATGGCACAGGAAGCTCTCAGAAATATCAATTGAACTAAGTAGTCCCAAGTTTTTCAAAGATTAGTAGTTCTTGGGCAGTAGCAACAACAGATCATTGATTTAAAAAACACTGTAATTTTTTAAAATTATAATCACAGTACCTATTTCTGCTGATCTTTCAAAACAGACCTTTGGTTAGTCATTTGTAAAGATGACTGTATCAGAATAAAGGATTGTCATCCAGCAGATGGCAATGAAAGGGAAAGAGACACGTTTTATCCGGGAAAAGCATAGTCGAACCTTCTTATAAATCCGTGGGAACTCTGTGAAGAATATGCATAAAAATATTAATTAGTTGGCAGTTATCAAAAGTGACAAATGTATCCGATGCCTTTAGGATTGATATGTAAAAATAGCACAACTAAAGAAACATCTATTGGTCTTGTAGTATTTATAAGGAAATATTCTATGCCTCATATAAATTTTTTTTAATGTGTAATATAATATCACATGTTCCGTGTTGTCAAGAAATACAATCTAATGAGACATATAGGACATGTCCACAACTAAAAATACTGCCTGCCAAATGATTATTGGTGTAATTAAGGGATATATAAACTGCAGGAGGACTTAGAAGAAGGAATTTAGTGTTTCTAATATGAACACTCAAACATACCTCTTACTGAATCAGTAAGAATTCCTTCAGCAGGAAGTTTTGGTGCAGACAGGAAAAATTTAATAATGAAAAGACACTTATATAAAAGAAATGACAAGCTAGCATAAAGCTTTTGCAATAGCACTTAACGTATTTCTTCCCAGTTGGTTCTACTTCTATTATCTCCGTCCTTGTGGAGCCGTGGATATGGGGCCTTGTCTAGTCTAGTCAGTGGCTCTCTCTTTATCAATTTGACATAATTTTTTGGCACAGTTCACTGAACTCTTTACATGGCAGTAAGGGAATCTTTCACCATAAAATACTACAAACCTCCTGGTATTTTAGAAACTATACACACGAATGAATGAAATGCATGACTATTTCCCTCAAAATATATATTATAAAACCTCAGAGTTTGTATGACAAGCTCTATTGTACTATTTTACTATTATGTAAAAATTCTATTGTATTGATACATTGTAGATATTATTGAGAAGATATATATCTTAATAATATCTTAATAATAAGCATACTAAATATAATAAATATTATGTGTGTACATATGTAATATTTACTATATTAACTATGTTTATACCACAAATACATATTATGTAATATTTATGCACATATGTAATTGTGTATATATATTCATATGTATTATATTCATATATATTATATTCTTGTTTAAATTGCTTTGTCATTGTTTCTTATTTGTTGTTTCACATAGATTTTTAAGATATTTTTCAATATTAATAAATACTCATTTGGAATTTTAGGGAACTTATGTTAATACACAAAATTAAGATAAAGGCATATCTTCGTAATAATTTTCTTCTAATACATGAGCATACTGTAGATTTCTGCTGAAGTTGAATTTTATTTTATTGGCATAAAGTAAATTGAAATAAAATTCTACAGAATTTCCCCATAACTCAGTTCTAAGCCAATTAGAGTTTATAAGAACAATATGTATTAATCACCTAAATTATAAGAAAAACTTCAAACGTTTTTAATAATTATGATAAATAAATGAAACTTTTTAAAGTAACTTTAGTTACTTTCCTGGAATTTTACAGACATGGCTAAATTTCTATTTTATAGTGATCTCTGTTTTTTACCACTATGAAAATAGAAAGGCTTGGATTTTAATGTCTCTACTTTTATTATTTATACATTTCACCTGCATATTTTACTTATGACAACTGAAATGTTCTAAAAGAAATGTGCAAAATAGATCTTCTGATGACAATTGATTTTATTTTGAAAAGATCATATGCCTTAATCCCTTAAGGTAACCACTCAGTCAAAGGCTGAAATAGTACAAGATTTGGATGCCATGTCATATCAGAATTCAAGACTTACTTGTTCTAAAAACTTGTTATAGTACCTTTTTCTTTGTAGTTTTTAAGATCACTATGAAATTCTCCTGAAGGTATTTATAAAAATATTTGACCATCAGAATCAGTTGACACAAGCTAGCAATACCTTTGCAAAAGAAAGAAAGAAGTTCAACTGAACAATTGTGGTAGGCAAAATATTAACTTCCTTATCATTATTCCCTATACCTATCTATTTTCTAGCACATGAAATACAATCTTTACTTGGATTTTCAATAGGCAAACACATCTATTAAATAATCTCTGTGTATTTATCACCCACCATCAAACCAATCCATTTTACAAACTACACTTTAAAAGACACAAATTTACTTTTAATATGTATCTATTGATGTCATAAATCATCATATTCATAATTAAATTGTCATCCGACTGAAGCAGGGACACAGAAAAAAATAAAACAGCTTAATGAGCTTTCTCTAAGCCATTGCCTACCAGGTTAAAAAAAAAAAAAAAACAGTTCAGTCTTTTTATATGAAAGAAATGTTTCTTTAAACCTACTATAAACTAGTGGATTTACAGCTATAATTATTTTTCTCATTGACTTTTCTATTATACTCGGGACCCTGCTGTTATTCAGGATTTGCCTTTAGATCTATTTTCATCAGACAGTTTTCAAAGTATATTTGCACATCTCAATTCAGTTACGTTAAAATTATTTTTAATCTAAAATGCATTTTTTAGTTATTTATTTCCTTTTCCAATCTGAATCATTCTGCCCTAATTTGTGTAAAAATTCATGCTGACTTCTTTTTCCTTGTTTATGATTTGTGAGCCAACTTTCATCCATCTAATTAAAACTTTTGTGAAGGACAAAACATGAAATAACTGCAAGGAGGCAGTCTGAAGTTATCTGAAATGATTCCAACATCAGTGATGTAACTTTCTATAGTACGTTCAAGTGTTTGCAGACCCAAATAAGTAAATTGCTTGGTCTTTCCTGAGTGTAATTAGTACTTAATTATAGGTTGGTGCAAAAGTAATTGCAGTTTTTGTTATTGAAAATAATACTACACTCTGGTGACTTGATGAGCCTATCTGACAGTCAGTTTAAGATGTTAGCAAAATGATTCCCATGATATTCTGTTATTTATAACAATAAATAAATACTGTTTGAATGTAAGAAAAGATTTAGAAAGAAAGGAAACCAAATAAAACTAATTACAGACTTTACTCCTATTTGGAAAAGAAAAAGATTGGGAAATAAAAACTATGAGAAATCTAGGCTAACATGAACAGTGAATAAAAGAAAAGCGGTAAGCCTCAGAAAGATGTTGATATGAATGAAAATAACGATATTAAACCCCCCTTCCCACACACAGACAAATCTAGAACTATTGCTTAGTTTTTCTGTCCATATACAGTCTATTTTCTTTCTATGAAGCTCTTCAGTATTGCTGAGTGAGTAAGTCAAATGTAAATGAGGCTGTTGAAGGGTAAATGGGACCTAAGAGGGGAGAAAATGTTATGCTAATAATCAGAGAGGTCTCTAAAGGTCATGGGAGAAAAGTACATAAGGGCCACAATAAAGTTTTTCATTTGGTCTCTGAGACTTGCTAGAAAATTACACTAATATTGATGAAAAGAAGATTCCTAGTACTCTCTAAAATGTTTATATAAAATAAATAACATGTTTTTCTAGAATTTCACAGGCAATATAATTCTTGAGGCCTATAATAAATATTCATTACACCCACTATATCAAACAAGCATATCCCTGCTATTAGACATTTGATAACATTTAATCTTGAAAGTTTAAACTGAATAGTGAAAAAATTATTTTAAAAATGGTCCTAAATGCTCACCTCACAATGTGTTGAATATGGCAGTGGTAATTTGATATTTATACATCCAGTTATGGACAAGTCAGTATCTATCCTTTTATAAGATATTAATATATAGTTGTGGATTTGTTTTGTATTAAACAAATGCTTTTATATTTGGATAATAAAATTAGTAAAATGTACATGTATATTTTATTTACTCATGTTGAACAAAATTCTGATACTTTTTGTTTTGGGTTTATTTTGGCTTTGTGTATCATTTATTAACATACTAAATTTATTAGCAAAATAATATAATGAGAATATCTATATTTCAAGTTTATACATTCTCATGTCTAATGTCCATATTACTTATGATAGAATAATAAAAATATAAAGTGAATAAAAGATGCAATTTGAATAAAAAATTCAATACAGTGATTTTTAATGTTTTTTTCTATATAAGAAATTATTACAAAATAATAATTTATCAAATACAAATGATATGGCTTTTTCACTCCCTTAGTTTGGAGAATGAGAAAAAATGGCACCCAGCAGCTTCTTCTCTCTTGTTGTCTGACAAGCAATAGGAAATATTTCAGCTCTTTTACTACCACCGCCAGCAGCTCAGCAAGCAGGAGTGTTACAGATCTTTTGCTCCTGCAGTTTGGTGAGTTTTGGGTTCTTGTCCTGTGACTAAGAGGAATAAGGTACATGGACACTGAGGAGTGAGTAAGGCAGAGTAGAATTTTATTGGGTGACAGAAAGAAAGCTCTCAGAATCAAGAGGGTACCCAATAGTTGTTTGTGAGGCTGAGTCCAGGGTTTTTATGGGCTTAGAATAAGGCAGTGTGTGCTGATTGGTCCATGGGTGGTCTTGGAAAAAGCACCATTTGATTGGTTACAAGGCATCATTCAGAAGGAACCAATCTAGAGAGAGTGAGTAAGATGGCAATGGAAGTTCTCACTCAAGTCATGGACTGTATCTGGAACTGGCACCTCAGTTTTTCAGGCTTTAAACTACCCTTGGCTTGAAGGTCGAGTTTCACTGGGGTCCCAGTCTTGTCTACTTAGGAATTTGTCTGTCTTCTGTCACTATCAAAAGCCAGAAACATGTTAATCCAATCAGTGAAGTGTACTTTATTTTTATCTTGATAGAAATACAAGGAAAGCATTATCATAACAAAATAATACACTTTCTTTCCATACATCAGCATTTCTCAGATAACTGATTTGGGCTGTTTATTTCATTCATATTTGAACTACAAATTTCAGCTTGTGTTAGAAAGCAACAACTCATAGTTTCGTATTTTTAATCACATGTTGGCCAAATTTAAAAATTTGAACTCAATTGTTTGTCAATTTTAATTTTTTAAATGTTATAGAAATAATAAGTAGAAAATATTCTCCCTTGAGTCTTAGTTTCAGTTTGGATTTAAAGTAAAGGCAATGTTTATCAACAAATCCTGCATGATGTTTAAACTTCCTTTAATTTAACTTAAAGATGATCCTACAAAAACTATGAAAAAAATTAACTATTTTGCTAATATTTATTTTTGAGGAGATGTGTGAAATTTATCTGGGTAACTGAAGTCAAATGTGTAATCAAGGGGTTTATTATATAGGAGATAACATTTGTATAAATTTACTTATAAACCACACATTCATTACATATATTCATGAACTAAAAGAAAGACAAGTAAATTCAATTTACTCTTGAAATGCTATTCTATCTTAAAACAAATTATACAGATGACTACCACTGTCCATAACATGAGGATTTAGGAATTACCCCCTCTTTTGGTAGTCAATGTTCAGAAATTACAGTGTGTGTGTGTGTGTGTGTGTGTGTTGTTGTTGTTGTTGTTGTTTTTTCCTAGAAGAAGATGTTAAAATAAGTGTTTGAATGCAATTAATTGGTTTGAATTTCAAATGTCATTGTTGGAGATGTGGAAAAATGATAGGGAAGAAAAGGCAGTCATAAAGGATGCATTACAATCGGCTATCACAGTGGATACCTGGAACTTAGTCCCATTGAGAAACTCTGGAAAATGGCATAAAGTCACACTTCATAATTTCACTTGAGAGGCACAGGAGCTGGTATATTTATGTATTATTTCCCAAGATGATTATTTGAAGACTGCTCATAGAGTGGTGTGAATTCCATAACCCATTCATTCCCAGCACTCACAATGCACAGAGAGCAGCCTTCTGTGCTGTCAGAACAAGTCCTCAGACACAGAAACACAGAGATTGATACTTGGAAATTAGCCATAATTTACTGAACCATTCCAAGTATTTGGGCAAGGCTTTGCTATGAATACTCCTATCTTTACCTTACATTGCTCAGAACCCCCTCAGGCTCTAAATTAAATTCATAGTTTATTTAATGTTATTCATGGTATATCCCTTAATGTTATTTATGGAATATCCCTTTTTAAGGGATGGTCAAAAATTTTTTAAAACACAAACAAAACCAACAAATTACAGGATGATGGAGAGTAGGTCAAGCTTTAGCTCTGCTTTTTTAGTGGGTCCTGAGTCTGGCCACAGCTGATATTCTTTATATCCATCTTTTACTGCTCCTATCAGATTTCCCTCAACTTGTGTCAGCAGTTCGGCTAGTCCAGAGTACTTTCCCAGTGTGACAAATTATACTTTCATGCCTGAAGCTTCCAAACCTTTGGTTACCAATTGCTTTGTCAGATTGTGTCTTATGCAATTGCCATTTAAGATTTTGATTTAATGGAAGCACTGAGATAACCCAAGGAATTGTTTTAACTACAGACATATTTCCTTCTACCCTCATTGCACAGCAACAACCCCACCTTCTCATAAAAATTATGGTCTGTTATCCCTGCCAGTATACTAACTCCTTTTTTGTGTGCTGTTTTAATGACATAAGGAGCTCAAAATAAGTTGAATGACATAAGGAGCTCAAAATTAGTTGAATGAATAATTTTTTTTTGGTAGTATCTTCAATATGTTCTTGGGTAAAAGTGTCCCTCCCCTCATAACAAAGACCTAGAAGAGGTCCAGAAGGCCAAAAATTGCTCAAAAAAGCAAAAATATTCTCAATTGCATCACTGGGTACAATGGTGAGAAAACACTGAGGCATAGGCATTCTATGTATCAGAAATATATTCAGTCCAAAGGATTCTAGGGACATTTTATTCATTGTTGCACTACCTTTCCTATATTGATTACTGCTTGTTCCAAAGCACTGTTCAAGATAATTAATCAGTCAATGTGTTAACCTTTGAGTAGAATTGCTGGTTAAGGCACTGCAGAAAGAGAAGGAAAACACATACCCGTTCCCAAGTCAAAGCAAAAATTAAGCCAGATAAAGTTAAACAGGCAAAGAAGACTTTTTAATTCAAGAAGATTGCAATAAAGGAAGCTGAACTCCACTGTAAAAAAGATGGGAGAACTTTTAAACACTGGAATGAACTAGCGAAAAAATATTGGAGGACTTTGAGGCTGGGGTTGATCAACGGCATGTGTCTAGCACATTGATTTATTCCTGAGTTTCTAAATATTTTTCTCTGTGATTATGCTATCGGTTTACTAATCGTTGCCCATTGAAAACAGGCTCCTACCCTCCCATGGAGATTAGCAGATAGGGGTTGCAGCTCCTTTGATGTTTACATTTCAAAGAAATTGTTCCCAGGTCCTTGAAAAAGACATTTCTTGGGTTATACAACTGGCAAGGGTCAGGAGATTTACATACATTTCAAAGTGACAGGAAAAGAATACACAATGGAAATGTTTCCGTAGCAAATGCTATAAGACTAGGCAAGTCAGGTGTTCATAGTCAGAAAGAAATCCATCTAAAATTTAGTCAAGCTAAGGAGAACTTTAAAGAGTATGTGAATATATGAATCCAGTATAGGTAAATTATTTACTACTTAAGGGTGAAAAGGATCCAATGTAATCAATATATCACACAGTGGCTAGGTGAGCTTTTCAAGGGATGGTAGCAATACTTAGGGCTAAAGTTTATTCTCTACTGCTAATTGGTTAGCATTCAGGCATGGCAATATCTATTGCAGGAAGAGGGAGCCCATATTGGGCCCAGGAATATTTACCAGTTCTGCTTGGTTCTACAGTAACTAAGGACAGACCATTTTTGCTGTTTTCTGTTCTTTTATTCTTTTATCATTTTTGGTTCTTGGTTTTATTATGTCTTTTTTTTTTTTTGAGACAGAGTCTCACTCTGTCACCTAGGCTGGAGTGCAATGGCGCGATCTCGGCTCACTGCAACCTCCGCCTCCCGGGTTCAAGCGATTCTCCCTGCCTCAGCCTCTCAAGTAGCTGGGATTACAGGCGCCCACCACCATGCTCGGCTAATTTTTGTATTTTTAGTAGAGACAGGGTTTCACCATGTTGGCCAGGCTGGTCTCAAACTCCTGATCTCACTTGATCCACCTGCCTTGGCCTCCCAAAGTGCTGGGATTACAGGCATGAGCCACCGTGCCCTGCATATTATATGGCATTTTTAGCAATGCTATAATTAATAAATATGGAGTATGTCTTTGTTGACTTATCCAGATATATCTGTAGTATTAATTTCTACTTCAGTTCTTGAGCCAAATATACATGTGATGATAACATTGCAGGTAATTTTGATAGAGAATGCAAATTTCACTTTAAAAAAATTAGATTCCTACTTTGTGGGTGTATGAAAAGATCAATTAATTTGATTAAGCCAATTTCAAGAAAGATCATGCTATAATGGCCATGCTATTTAGGTTCACCTGGACTCCTGGTACAAAGATTTTCCACGTTCCAATCCAAGATATGAAACCTCCCCCACCCTTGGCATTCTTCAACTCATGGGATTTGTGTTAAAGTTAGCAATGGAGTTTGATTAATTAATTAAATCCTCACATAATTGAAGCACATGCAGATACATAACAAGTTCACTATCCAGAATGCTTTTAGTAACATTTTTTATGCCAGTATAAACTCAAAATATCTCAAATGTCCATCAGCAGTTAAAAAGACATACAAATTTTGGTATATTAATAAACGAAACATGATACAGCCATGAAAATACATGAACCGAAGTAAAACTTCTTGCAAAAATAGAATGGATTACACAAACATGTAAAGTGACTGAAGTCAGACCCAAATGAATACATACTATATAATTCAGTTTACATAAAGTGTAAAGTAGCCAGAAGTATAGTATTGTGTTAGAATTCAAGATAGTGCTTATTTTGGGGAAAGGGAGGCTAGAATCGGAAGGGAAATAAAATAAATTTCTGAAAGGCAGGCAATCCCTTGTTCTTGACCTGTTTGTGATTACACAGGCATTTATGTTAAAAACATGGAGCACTGTATACACTACATACTTTACTGTATATGTATTACGGTTAAAAATAAAAAATAAAAAGAACACAAAATTAAAATCTCATAGTTGCACATGCTAACCATTATATCCCAAAACATGGTTACAATTTTCTCAGCACTTCATAAATATTGCTTTACTAAATTTTTGTTGGTGTTGTTCATCAAAACGATCATATTATAATGTCTTAAGAATAGAATCGAGAGGTGTGGAAAACTTTTCCTGATATAAACAATGTTCATTAAATATTCTTTCTGATCATTTTATTTCAGAATGGTAACTTATAATATAAAGTCATTTATATCCTAACAATATCTATCTACTCCATCAACACATACAAAATTGTCAGAATACCTACATTTAAATAGTACATTTCATCTTATCTTTTCTAATGTTTTGCCAATTATTTATTTTATTAACTCAAAATAAAGAGAATAGAATTAACTATTAGTGGGGACACATCAAAGTTGTAAAATTTTATCATGTATTTCTAGAATATAATATATGTTACCATTTTCATAGCAAATTTAAAATACTTTGAAATGACAAAGGGAAAATTGGACAACAGAAAAATATGTAAAATGGTAAGTTAATTAAAGCTTATTATAATATAAGAATATTCCTGGTAAATTCCCATCATGAAATTAAAAACTATATTATCAGTTAAAATTTTTTGCAAAAAATAATGTAACATATTTTTATATTTTTACTGAATTTCCATTTTATGTCCATATCAATTTAGATATTATTATTTTTGAGCAGCTTTTCAAGTTTTTTGCCCAATTTTCTAATGGATTGTCATTCTTTTATTTATTGATTTATACAAGTGCCTTATATAATCTGAAATCAGGTCTTTTGTTAGAGATATTTATTGTAACTATTTTTCTCCTGTGGTTTACACTCTTTTTTCTTAATGTTTCTTTTGATAAAAATGAATAATAATATTGTTGTTTAAGCTTTTAGCTTCTATAGCTACGAGAGATATTGACTATTAATATATTTCAATATTATTTTCAGGTTTTAGTGTTAAGAATATGTTACATTATAAAGTATGTTAGGAAAGTATATTGTAACTCTAGGTTTTTTGAATAATTTCATGTAAGATCTTGGAGATTTCCTTCTTAAATATATGGAAAAATTGACTGTTGAAAATTAATAAAATTTAAGGCAGTGGCCCCATTTCCACAGCTCCACTAAGCAAAGCCCTGGTGAGTACTGTCTACAGTGGTTCTGCCTCTGTGGCAGGCTTCTGCCTGAGGATATATCCTCCGAAACCTAGGTGAATGTTACCAAGCCTCCAGCACTCCTGCATTCTGGGCATCTGCACACTCAATACCATGTGGAAGACAGAGGGGCTTACAGCTTATGCCCTCCAAACGCTTCCAACCTCTCCCCATTGCCCAGTTTCAAAGCTGCTTCCACATTTTCAGGTATCTTTACACCATCCCTCCTTTGGTACAGATTTACTGCATTAGTCTGTTTTATGTTGCTATAAAGAAATATCTGAGGCTGGGTAATTTATAAAGCAAAAAGGTTTTATTTGGCTGACACTTCTCCAGTATGTACAAGAAGCATGGCATCAGAATTGCTCCTGGTGAGGGTCTCAGATTGCCTCCACTCATGGTAGAAGGAAAAGGGGAGGCAGTGTGTGCAGAGATCACATAGTAAAAGAGGAAGCAAAAGAGTAGGAGAGGGGTGATGCTAGCTTATTTTTAACAACAAGCTCTGGAAGGAACTAATAGACCAAGAACTCACTCAACTCTCACACTAGAAAGGTTAATCTAGTCATGTGAGATCTGCTCCCGTGACACAAACACTTTCCATGAGGCTCCACCTCTAACACTGGGGATCACATTTGAGAGTGATCATCACATTGGGGATAAACATCCAAACATAATAGAATTCCTTTCAACTCATTTTCATTATAGCTTGTCTCTATTTTTTTAGTACTGTGTCTTTCATATTGAGTATAAATAAGGTATTAATCGCAATATAAAATTCATCACTCTTCTGTCTTTCTGCCTTCATAGTGTTTTAGTTTGCCGAGTCATCACTGTTAATGCTTGGATATAATGTTCAGATGCTGGTTTTTGAAGTATGTGTGTATATATATATATATTTTAAATATACCAATAGACCAAGAATATTTTCCATGCAAATGTCCATAAAGGTTACAAGAAATAATATTTACTCTAAGTCAAAAACAAATCACAATTTTGAGTTTGACAGTGAAAGATTTTATTTTCAAAATTTATTTAATTGTTCACGTGATATTATTTATTTAATGTGAATAAGGGTCACCTTAGCTAAAGGCCGTATACTTTTGGATACTTTTCCTCCCCACATTCAGTATTCTGTTTTGTTTAAATACAAGCATATTTATTCTTTCTTTCTTTATTTTTTTATTTTCTTAAGATAGAGTCTTGATCTGTAGTCCATGCTGGGGTGCAGTGGTGTGATGTTAGCTCAAAGCAGCCTTGAACTCCTAGCTCAAGCAATACTCTTGCCTCAGCCTCCAGAGTAGCTGGGACTACCGGGCATGTGCCCCTATGCCTAGTTTTTTTTTTTTTTTTTTTTTTTTTTTGTAGAGACAGGGTCTCACTTTACAAATATCTTTATTCTTAATGAGCTTTTGCTACTTTCTGCATGTTTTAAAGGCTACATAGCTAAGATTATTACACAATAAATTAGGAGAGGATTTTAACATTTCAAACAATTCCAAAGAGGAAAAAGGAAGGTGGTGAATCCTGTCTTGTCTTTATAAATGAAACGCGTCCCTAAAGGAGCTAAATTGGGATCAAGGAACCAAGAAAAATCACTCAGTAAAGATAATCTATCTTATTATCTATATGAAAGTTTAAATGTATTCTTATAGGAAACATTGACTCCATAGAAAATTGGTATCTTTAAATAAAATATTATGAAATATTTTTTATAAGAAACTCTACTTCAATCTTACCTATATCCATATTTAGGCAGACTGCCTGAGCTCAGGAGTTTGAGATCAGCCTGGGCAACACGCCAAAGCCTCATCTCTACTAAAAATACAAAAATTATCTAGGCGTGGTGGCGCATGCCTGTAGTCCCAGCTACTTGGGAGGCTGAGGCACGAGAATTGTCTGAACCCTGGAGGCAGGGGTTGCAGTGAGCTGAGATCCTGCCACTGACCTCCAGCCTGGGCAACAGAGCCAGACTCTGTTTAAAAAATAAATAAATAAATAAATAACATCTCCCCTATCCTTTTGAATTTTACATATGATTTGCAGTTTATTATATACCTAATATTTTACCTTCTCATTGATTCCTCTATAAACATTGCCTTTGGACAATCAGAAGAATAAATTACTCCCTTTTAAAACTTCACATTTGGCTGGTAAGATTTTTTTTTCTCCAGTGTTGTGTGGTTCATCATATTAATATTTTGCATTATTTGTACTTTATATATAAAAGAAACCTTGCTCATTCTGAATTTAAGTGTTTTTAAACATTCTAATGACAGTAGAATTTTTTTAATTTTTAAAATTTTTTTAAATTTCTTAAGTTTCAGGATTATGTGAGCTACTGTACTTCTTTTTAAACTTCGCATTTAATCTTAACATTTTTGTTGCTTAATTTGAAAAAGAAGTTGGTAGATTACATTCATGATATTAATTTTCAGGTAAAGTGATAAAACACTATAGCAAAACTTCAACCGAATATTGTAGATGTTTTTTCTTTATATATAACATTATTAAATAGAGTCGAAATCACCATTATTATACAAATGCTATCACAAAATGATGCTAGTGATGTCAGTGTAGAAGCTGAAATGACAATTCATATGGCACAAATGGTATTGCCAGAGGTGACATGATTTTCCAAAATGTTGAACCACTCTAGATTACATTTCAAAGAAAGCAAAATACAATCTCCATATAATTTATCCAGTACTTTAATTTGACGGGCCTGAAAGCTATGTAAAATTTATTTTATATTTCTGTGTAAAATGGAAGGCTATATTTAAAGTAGACTTCTTATTCAAGTCATTTGTCTATTACATAACTTTATTTTTCTTACAAACTCTGATAATAGGTTGTCTATTTTCCTATTCCTTCTTTCTCTCCCCCAACACACATTATCTATTTCTAATCAACTTCTAATCATTATTTCTCTCCCAGTTCACACACACACACACACACACACAGAGTCATGTACAAAACATACTGTCATATACACACAGTCTGAATGTAAACTTCTGAGATCTATGTCTATCTTCCCCATTGCTCTATCCTCTATACATTGTAATTATTCAATAAATATTTGTTAAAGAAATAAATAATTTTTATTTTCATCATTTTATTTGAAATAAATGTACTGTTCCTCTAAGTGAATTACATATAATCATTTAAAACCCAAAGTTATTATGACAAGATTAGAACAATTCAGCCAGAACACTGCAGTGATAGTACTAGTAGCTGTCTTCCATGGTTATTTTATCGTTAACTACCAAAAAACCACAGCATTTAAATCAGAAGATAAATATTTTTGTAATCTGAATTTCTACACTAAAAGTCAAATGAGCTAACTCTAATAATTGTACACTATGTTATTCACCTACAAACTTTTAAAAATGGATAGCTGTTAGTTTCTAAGTAAGAAACAATAACATAAAAAGCATTGAATTCAAAATGAGCCAAGGTACCCTTTAGCAGAAATGTTGAATTATAGTTTGTCTAAGGAATGCTAGTATTGCTCACGTTTGCATATTTAGATTAATAGTACATTTCTACAAGGTTTGTGCTGTAATTGGAACTTAAGTAACATTTGTAAAGTGTTATCTGTCGGAGCCTGAAGAGACCCAAAGAGAATGTATGTCATTATGCAAAATTACTAATTAAGTACAAGTAATTTAGCAGATAATTTACATGTTCATTTTATAATAGAAATTATTTAGTTTTAAGGTCCTCTTTGTATTTCTAAAGTAATCTCGACCTAAGGGATCACAGCCTGTTAAGAAGAAGTATAAATTATAGAATGAGACATATGTTTAACTGACTCATAGAGCTTTTGTTGTGGCTAATGATTTTTCTAACAGTAATTGCATAAGGGAAAACATTTTCTTTTTAAGTAAATAGTGCTCGTTACCTCTTAAATCTACTGTCACTTGACAACATTAATGTGGAAAAACTTCTACCTTCTTGATTAGCTCTCCAAGGATATTCAGCAGCTTTAAATTAATATTGATGAAACAGAAACCATCATATCCATCAGTGTTCTTACAAATGTGGATGCACGGAAAAAAATAATATTTCAATAGATTCTGGAAAGAGAAACAATTAGTTTTCTGAAACATACTGTAAATTACTGAAATATAGTGTAAACTATAAATATAAGGAAATTATATTAGAATGGGGTATTTATTGGGTACCTGTTAATAAATACTAGATCTATATATAAATCTTAAATATTTCAGTAATAAAGTCTGCATTTGTATAGTCTAACTGTGACCATATTGTGTTACAAATTGTTATCCCATAACACAACTCTGGAGAGAAAAGAAATCAACCTGCCTTTCCAAGCCAGTCCTTTTTAAAATTCAAATCGTCTGAAAGTTCCATGAAGGCAGCAATACTGTTTATTTAAACAGCTCTGGTCCACTAATGTAAAACAGTGCTGAGGTACACTCTAATTTAGGTGACAATTCCCTCAAATTCTTCTCCCTGTTTTCTTTAGGTTTAATATGTTGTTGGTTTTAAAATAACTTTAAAAATGATATTAATTCAATTTTTTTTCTAATTTTTATTGGTGCATATATTTAATGCTGTCAAATGTTCTCTGATTCTTACTTTAGCTGTATCCCATAAATCCTGATAAGCCCCATTTTAATTTTGAGAAATAATGTAGTTTTATTTGTTTCCAGTTTGATCCCGGGGTTGTTTAACACTGTCCATTTTAATACCATGTGGAAGAATTTTTTGTTTTCAAATTTGTTACAAATTATTGTTTTATTCAAAATTCACAGAATGCTCTTAGTTTTTTTTTTTTTAGTATTAAGATTTCATTTGTGGTATAAAATGATGAATTTTTATGAATAACTTTGCTGTACTTAAGACAAGTATAGTATCATCTGGGTTAAGGTTTCAATATATTAATATAATATCTAAATTATTGATGACAGATGTTCAGTACTTCAATATCTTTATGAAACTTTTGTCCACTTGATTCACCTTGATTAAAGAAGAATGTGTTGATTTTTATTTTTATTAATTTCCTTGTACAGTTCTTTTTGCAGCTGCAGTTGGTGTTTAAAGAAAGTCACTGCTATATTACTATTGGCATAAAAATTAATGGCTGTTACAGCTTCACTGAGAAATATTGTTTTTAAATTTATGAAATATTTCATCATTATATAATCTACTTGGCATCAATTTTGTACTTTTGGATATCAAGATTTTAACTCCTACTTTACTTCAATTGCATTTGAGTAGTACATATCAGTGCATCCTTCTATTTTTATCACTTTTTAATGTTGTTTTTTCAGGTCTGTCACTTATATAAAGTGAAATTTTGGATTTTACATTTTTATTCAATAAAACAATTTTCTTTCTACTGGTGATTTAAGTTCATTTCATTACACTAGAATTAATATATTTGGCCTCCATTCTCTTATATTTTTAATGTTTTATGCACACAAGGTATGTCATTATGTGGTCACTTATTTGTTCTCTCTCTCCTCATATATTTTGGTATTTAGAAAGTTTTGCAATTCTAGAATAATGGCTATATTTATAACATTTATACTAATGCTTTTGAAGAATATCCTTAGTCCTCTAACTTTTTCAAGTTCTATTGTTTCCCTCTGTAAATGAAATTAAATTTTACTGGGGAATTTTTATTCCCCTCCCCCATCTCCCTACAAATCTGATTTGAAGTAATATCTTTCACTCCCAGTTATTATCAGTAAATAGTGAAGTGATTATCCTTTCCATACACTTTCTTAATTTTGTAAACCACTATTGATTGTTACTTTATCTAAAATGTCAGAATATTTAACCTACAGATACTTTATTGTCTTCTTTATATCTGTTAGTCATTTCTCTATAGATAAACATATATTCAATGTTTAGCACCAGATTTTAAGCTCAATTGTTTTTATATTCTACAGATAATTTTCTAGGTAGGAGTTATGGAAACAGTATTCCTTCCATTCTGACATATTCTTAAAGTCTACCTTTACACTAGAAGGTAAATTTAGACAGACATAAAATCTTTTTGTTATGCTTTTTCTTCCTTAGAACTTTAAGCGTATTAATAGTTTTCTTTGGCACAAAACATTACAGATAAAAAGGCTGAATATCAGTCTTATTTTATTTGCTTTATAAGTGACTTGAACTTCTTGCCTGGATACTCAAAGAATGTTTTTTCCTTTGTTTTAAAGTATAATAGCTTTGCTAGAATATATCTAGGTGCTAGATGTCATCTACTGTAGGTTGATTTTACTATGTACCAGAATATAAATATGGTCATGTGCCTCTTAATGATGGGGATATGTTCTGAAAAATGGCATCATTAGGCAACTTTGTCATCCTGGGGATATTATAGAGTGCATTTACACAAACTTAGATGGTATAGCCTATAACACACTCAGGCTATATGATATAGCCTATTGCTTTTAGCCTAAAATCTGCGTAGCATGTTACTATATTGAATACTTGTAGGTAATTGTAACACAATGATCAGTATTTGTGTATCTAAACATATTGATACATAGAAAAAGCACGGTAAAAATAGAACATAAAAGATAAAAAAATGGAACACCTGCATAGGGCACTTATCATGAATGAAGCTTATAGAAAAGAAAGTTACTGTGGGCAACTCAGTGAGTGAGTGGCGAGTGAATGTAAAGGCCTACAATATTAATGTGCACTACTGTAGACTTTAGAACACTGTTCACTTAAACTACACTAAATCTATTAATTTTTCTTCAATAATAAACGTAGGTAATTCTACAGGAGAAGCAGAGCACAATGGCCAAATAGTGACCACCCCCCTGTAGGAACACCCAATTAAACAACTATCCATGCAAGAAATCGCCTTCATAGGAACCAGAAACTCAGATGAGTAATCATAGTACCCGGCTGTAACAGAATAACAAGGAAAGAGGCATTGAAGGGGACAGGCAGGACAGTCTTACATTGCCTACAGGACCCCTCCCTCAAGCCCAGACAGCACAGCACAAAGAGAATCTGTGTGCTTTGGGGAGGGAGAGTAAGCATGGGACTTTGCATTAAAGCTCAGTGCTACCCTATCATAGGGCAGAATTCTGCTGGCACACTTAAAGGGAGCATTTAGACCAACACTGGGCCAGAGAGGAATCCTCCACCCTAACTTGAGGAAACATGAGTCTCAGCCAGTTTCAACATGGGCTGACTAACGTGGCCAGGGGCCCCAAATAAATTTCAGTGTCAGTAAGGCCACAGAGACTGCAGTCCCTGGGCAAGCCCTGGTGTTGCACTGATTTTGGAGACAGTGGATATGGAGTGAGACCCAGAGTGTCACCAGCTGCAGAAGCCCGCAGCCCTGAGAGTGCCTGCATCACCCCTCCCCCAATTGCAGGATGAGCAGCTCACAGGCAGCCTCCTTTTTAGGGGAAAAAGAAAGAATAGAGAAGATTTTGTCTTGAAACTTGAGTATAAACTCCGACACAGTAAAATAAATCACCAAGCAGATTTATAAAGCACCAATTCCAGGTTTTTACTCCTGCATGGTGTTTATAGACCCACCCTGGGAATTCGCTCCCCTAATGGAATGGACCCAATCCAAGAAGGATTCACCACCTGCTGCTTAAAGTGATCCAGGACCTTGAATAAAAATGAGTGGCAGCTAGGCATTAGTGGCCACAAGCCTTGGGCAAGGTTTAGTACCATGCTGATCTGGAAAACAATGGGCTACAGATGTGACCCAGGGCCATGTCGGCTGTGGTGGCCATGAAGATGCTCATATTACCCCTTACCAAACTTTAGGCAGCCCAGTGCAGAGAGAGATCCCTTCTGATTGGAGAAAAGAGAGGGAAGAGAGCAAGAGACTTTGCCTGGTATCCCAGATAATACACCCTCCTCCAGGTAACCCCAGGCTATGTAATTAGGAGTCTACAAGAGCCACAGTGTTCCTATGCTTAAGACACTCCCCCGTGCTGAAAGAGCTGCAGTGACCACAGGATTAAGTCAGAACACTCAAGCTCCTTTGAATTCATGGAAAGAAGGATAAGTACAAACAAGCCCAGACTGTGAATATTGTAATAAATGCCTGATTCTTCAATGCCAAGACGTTGATAAATGTCCACAAGCATCAAAAACATCCAAATCTAGATGTGGTGGCTCCTGTCTATAATCCCAGCTATTTGGGAGGTTGATGTGAAAGGATTGTTGAGGTCAGAAGTTAGAGTACAGCCTGGGCAACATAGTAAGACTCCATCTCTCTCAAAATATTAGCCAGGTGGTATGTGCCTGTATTCCCAGCTACTCAGGAGTCTGAGGTGTGAGGATTGCTCAAGCCTAGGAGTTTGAGGCTGGACAGAGTGAGACCCCATCTGTAAAAATAAAGTAAAATTTAAAAGAAAAAAGTAAAATCAAAAAAATATATAAAGTAAAATTTAAAAGAAAAAAGAAAGAAATTCCAGGAAAATATAACATCACCAAATGGACTAAGTGAGGAACCAGTGACCGATTCTGGAGTGACAGATACATGACCTCTCAGACAATTAATTCAAAATAGCTGTGTTGAGGAAGCTCAATGAGCTTGAAGTTAACACAAAGAAAGAATTCCAAATTCTTTCAGAGAAACTTAACAAAGAGATTGAAATATTTAAAATAATTAAGCAGCAATTCTAAAGCTGAAAAATTCAATTAACAACCTTAAAAATGCATCAGAGTTTCTCAACAGCAGACTTAATCAAGCAGAAGAAAGAATTAGTAAGCTTAAATGCAGGCTACATGGAAATACACAGTCAGAGAAGAAAAAAAAAAGAATGAAGCATGCCTATAGGATCTACAAAATAGCCTAAAGAAGAAAAATCTAAGAGTTATTGGTTATAAAGAGGATGTAGAGAGAGAGAATGGGATACAAATCTTATTCAAGGAAGTAATAACACAGAACTTTACAAACACAAGGATAAACAAAGAATCCTAATAGCAGAAGGAGAAGAAAACAAATAGAATATAAAGGAGTTAAAATACATCTGGAAGCAGACTTCTCAGTAAAAACCTTAGAGATCAGGACAGATATTTGAAATGGTGAAAGAAAAAAGAAATCCCAACTTAGAATGTTATTTCCAGCAAAATTATCCTTCAAACATGAAGTAGAAATAAAGATCTACCAGACAAACAAAAGCTGAGGGATTTCATCAACAGCAGACTTGTCTTACAAGAGATGCTAAAGAGAATTCTTCAGTCTCAAAGAATAGGGCATTAATGAGCAAAAATAAATTAACTGAACATATAAAACTTACTGGTAAAAGTAAGTACACAGACAATACAGAATACTCTAGCACTGTAGCTGCAGTAAGTAAAAAAGCTCATATATTTCATAGAAAAAACAAAAGACAAACCCATTAAAAATAATACTACAGCAATTTGTTGAGACTGTACAAATATATAAATAGAGTCAACAAATAATTAAAAAGTGGGGGGATGAAGTTATAGAGCTTTTTAGCTTTCTCTTGTTTGTGTGTTTATTTCTTTTCTTTCTTTTTTCTTTTGTTTTCAGTGATCAAAGTTAAGTTTTCATCAGTTTAAAATAATTGGTTATAAGCTTCATTGTAATCCCAAAGCAAAAACCTTGTAACAAAGACACAAAAATAAAATGCAAGGAATTAAAAAATACTACCAGAGAAAATAACTTTTAAACAAAGGAAGACAATAAGGAGGAAGAAGAAAAGAAAGGGAAGAACAACAAAACAACCAGAAAAGGGATAACAAAATGACAGTAATAAGTCCTTCCCTAGCAATAACAACATTGAAGCCACAATAGTAAAACCAAACAAAGAAGGTTATTATGTAATGATCAGTTCAACAAAAATATATTACAATCCTAAATATATATGCACCTAACTCTGCAGCTCCCAGATCCATAAAACAATTAATACTAGACCTAAGAAAAGAGATAGACACCAACACAATAATAATAGGGGACATCAACACTCCACTGACAGCAGTAGACAGATCGTCAAGGTGGAACGTCAACAAAGAAACACTGGACTTAAACTGTACTCTAGAACAAACAGAACTAACAGATATGCACAGAACACTCTACTCTAGAACTGCAGAATGTACACTCTTCTCATCAGCACATGGAAATTCTTCAAGATAGACAATATGATATGCCACAAAAGTCTGAATAATTTTTTAAATATCAAAATCCTATCAAGTATCTTCTCAAGGCCACAGTGAAATAAAACTAGAAGTCAACTCCAAAAGGAAACCTCAAGACTATAGAAATACATGGAAATTAATCAAATCTGCTCTTGAATGATTTTGGGGTTAACAATGAAATCAAGATAAAAATTTAAAAATTTTTCAAAATGAATATTAACTGTGAGACAAGGTATAAAGACCTCTGGGATACAGCAAAAGCAATGCTAAGAGGAACGTTTATAGTGCTAAATGCCTACATCAAAAAGTCTGAAAAGATCACAAATTGGCAACCCAATATCTCATTTAAATGAACTATAGAAACAATAACAAACCATATTCAAAGCCAGCAGAAGAAAAGAAACAAAGATCAGAATAGAACTACATGAAACTGAAACAAAAAATTACAAAAGATCAATGAAACAAAAAGGTGGTTCTTATAAATAATAAATAAAATTGATAGACCATTAGCTATAGAAGAACCAGGAAGAGAGAAGATTCAAATAAGCTCAATTAGAAATGCAAATGGAGGCATTCCAATTGACAATAAAGAAATACAAAAGATCATTTGAGACTGCTATGAATACCCCTCTATACATACAAACTAGACCATCTATACTAAATGAATAAATTCCTGGAGAAATATAACCCTCCTTGCTTTAATCTGGAAGAAACAGAAATCCTGAATACACCAATAATAAGCAGTGAGACTGAATCAGTAATGAAAAAAATGACATCAAAAAAGCCCAAAGCTAGATGAATTTGCAGCCAAATTCTACCAGACATTCAAATAATTGGTATGAATCCTACTGAAAATATTCCAAAAGACTGAAAAGAAGGAAATCATCTCTTATTCATTCTGTGAAGTCAGCATCACCCTGACATCAAAGCCAGGAAAGAACATAAAAAAAGAAAACTACAGACCAATATCCCTGATGAACATAGATGCAAAAATCCTCAACAATATACTAGCAAACTGAATCCAACAGCACATAAAAAAGATAATTACCATAATCAAGTGGGTTTCAGCCCAGAAGGGATGGTTCAAGATATGCAAGTCAATAAATGTGATTCATCACACAAATAGAATTTAAAACGAAAGTCATATGATCATCTCAATAGATACAGAAAACACATTCAATAAATTCCAGTATCTCTTTATTATAAAAATCCTCAACAACTTAGGTATAGAACATACATACATAAACATAATATGTCATGTAGTACACACCCACAGCCAAAATCATAGTTAACATGGAAAAGTTGAAAGCATCCCCACAAAGAACTGGAACAAGACAGAGATGCCCACTTTTACCACTTCTGTTAAAAATAGAAGTCCTGGGCCAGGCGCGGTGGCTCACGCCTGTAATCCCAGCACTTTGGGAGGCCGAGGCGGGCGGATCACGAGGTCAGGAGATCGAGACCATCCCGGCTAAAATGGTGAAACCCCGTCTCTACTAAAAATACAAAAAATTAGCCGGGCGTAGTGGCGGGCGCCTGTAGTCCCAGCTACTTGGGAGGCTGAGGCAGGAGAATGGCGTGAACCCGGGAGGCGGAGCTTGCAGTGAGCCGAGATCCCGCCACTGCACTCCAGCCTGGGCGACAGAGCGAGACTCCGTCTCAAAAAAAAAAAAAAAAAAAAAAAAAAAAAATAGAAGTCCTGGCTAGAGCAATCAGGCAAGAGAAATAAATAAAGGACATCTGTTTGCCAATGATGTGATTGGCTACATAGAAAATCCTAAAGACAACTCCAAAAGACTCCTAGATTTTATAAATGAATTCAGCAAAGACTCAAGCTATAAAATCCATGTATACAAATCGGTAGCACTGCTATACATCAACAGCAACCAAGCTGAGAATCAAACAAGAATGCAATCCCTTTTACAATAGCTGCAAAAAAATTGAGATACCTAGAAATATTCTTAAAAAATGTGAAAGATCATTACAAGGAGAAATACAAAAGTGTGGTAACATAAATCATCTTCTATACAAACGAATATAAATACATCCTATGCTCATGGATTGCAAGGATAAGTATTCTAAAAATGACCATACTGCCCAAAAGAATCTACAGATTCAATGCGATTTCTATCAAAACATCACCACCATTTTTTCACAGAATTAGAAAAAAAAAGCTAAAATTCATATGGATCAGGAAAGAGCCCCAATAGCCAAAGCAATCTTAAGCAAAAGTAATAAATCTGGAAGCATCACATTACCTGATTTCAAATTATACTACATGGGCATAGTTACCAAAATAGCATGGCATTGGTTAAAATAAAAAAAGTAGATACATAGAACAATGGAACAGAATAAATAACTCAGAAATAAAGCCAAATACTTATAACCAACTGATCTTTGACAATGTACACAAAAACATAAACTGGGGAAAGGACTCCCTGTTCAATAAATGGTGCCAGGAAAACTGGGTAGCAGCCACATGCAGAAGAATGAAACTGGATCCCCATCTCTCACCATATACAAAAATCAACTTAAGATGGATTAAAGCTTTAAATCTAAAACCTAAAACCATAAAAATTCTAAAAGAAAACCTAGGATAAACTCTTTTGGACATTGGCCTAGGCAAAGAAATTATGACTAATATCCCAAAAGCAAATTCAACAAAACCAAAAATGAATAAATGAGACCTCATTAAATTAAAAAGCTTCTGCACAGCAGAAAAGTAATCATCATAGTAAAGAGAAAACCCACAGAATGGGAGAAAATATTTGCAAACTATGCATCCAACAAAGGTCTAGTATCCAGGGTTTATAAGGAGCTTAAATCAGCAAGCAACAATAATAAAAATAATAAACCCCTCAAAAGGTGAGCAGATGACACGAGTAGACATTTTTCAAAAGAAGATACACAAATGATCAATAAACATGAAAAAATGTTCAACATCACTGATCATTATGGAAATGCAAATTAAAACCATATTGAGATACCTCCTTATACCAGCCAGAATGACCATTATTGAGAAGTCAAAAAACAATAGATGTTGTCATGGATGTGGTGAAAAGAGAACTCTTACACACTGCTGGTAAGAATGTAAATTAGTACAATTCCTATGGAAAGCAGTTTGGAGGTTTCCAAAATAACTCAGAGTAGATCTGTTATTCAATCCAGCAATCCCTCTACTGGGTATCTACCTAAAAGAAAAGAAGTCATTGTATCAAAAAATACTTGCACACGTATGCTTATCATAGCGCCATTCACAATTGCGTTAGTGACCAACATAAGTGCCCATCAACTGATGAGTGGATTAAAAAAATGTGGTATACATCATGGAATACTATTCAGCCTCTAAAAAGAGTGAAATAAGGTATTTTGTAGCAACTTGGATGGAGGTGAAGGTCATTATTCTAAGTGAAATAATTCAGAAATGGAAAACCAAATACCATATGTTCTCACTTATAAATGGAAGCTAAGCTATGGGTATGCAAAGGCATACAGAGTGGTACAACGGACACCACAGAGGCAGAAGCCAGGAGGGTTGGAGTGAGGTGAGGATTAAAAACCTACATATTGGATACAATGTACACTACTCAGGTGATGGCTGCACTAAAACTTCAGACTTCACAAGTATATAGTTCGTCTATGTAAGGAAAACCCACTTGTACCCCCAAAGCTGTTGACATAAATAAATAAATGAATATATATGTAGATAGATGATAGATAAATAGATGTAAATATAGAAAATAAATCAATACCATAGAAATAAAAATAAAAGAAAATAGTTATCTGCTTCCTGAAAGCTTAGGTTTCCCCATCTTGACCAGTTCTCAAAAGAGAAAATGCCCCTAAGCCTGCAGAGGTCCCAGAAGAAACCTGATCTTACTGACCTGGCTCTGTTGCCTATGAGGGTCTAGAATGCTCTGCCTTGGGCACCATCCTCTTGGGCAGGTCACACCAGCATCGCTTTCCTTCAGGCCCTCTGAGGGTTACAGGGTCTACTTTCTGTGCCTTGTGCTCACAGGAGGCGGCAGATGTAACAGAGCTGATTTTCTGGAGGATCAAACAGAGGCATGTGGAAAGAAAAGTAAAGAAACAGATCACAAATTAAGCCAGTATATCTGCTTTGATTTTTGTCCCTTCCTATTCATTCCAGAGGATTCTGAGAAAAAGCCACTTAGATCCAGAGGTGCCCAACTTAAAACCCTTTAGTGTTCTATATGCCTCATGCCCACCCTCTGCCCTTCATTCACTGACATGGCATGCTGGACTTTCTTCTTTTCCTTAAATATATTGGATTCTTACCTAACCCATACCATTCTTCTCTTTGCTTCAAGCACCCTTCAATCATCTGTCCTGTCTAACTTCTTTCACCTGGCTAAACTCTATTTGGCTTTCTGTTCTTGGCTTAAGTGTTTCTTTTTCAAAGATGTCCCTTTTGACCATTCCTATCCTAAAAAGTAATCCAATTGAATGAGAGAACACAGAGGATGTTTAGGACACTGAAACTGCTCTGTGTGACACTGTAGTGCTAGATACATGGTATTATACATTTGTCCCAAGCCACAGAATGTACAACACCAAGAGTGAACCCTAATGCTAACTATGGACTGTGTGTGTTAATGATGTATTATGACAGGTTCATTCATTGCAACAAATATGCCACTCTAGTGGGGATATTGATACTGGGGGAGCCTGTGTGCATGTGTGGTAGCAGGGAGTATTTGGGAAATCTCTGTACCTTCATCTCAGTTTTGCTGTGATCCTAATACTGCTCTGAAAAATAAAGTCTATTATAATAAAATAGAAAACAAAGCAATAATAATAATAATAAATAAATAATAATATGGCATGTAAGTGATCAAAATTCTCCAATACAAATACATAGAGTGGCTGAATGGTTAAAAGAAAAACAGGACTCAAGTATATGCTGTGTATAAGAAACTCAATTCACTTATAAGGACACATAATAGAGTTACAATAAACAAATGGAAAACTATATTTCATGCAAAGGAAAATCTAAAAAGAGCAGGAATAGCTATACTTATATCACAAGAAATAGACTTCAAGACAAAAATCTGTAAAAAGAGACAAAGAAAAATAATTATATAATAATAAAGGGGTCAACTCACTAAGAGTATGTAACAATTGTAAATATATATGCACTCAATACTGGAGCACCCAGATATATAAAACAAATATTATCTGAGGTAAAGAGAGAGATAGGCCCCAATACAGTAATAGTTGAGAACTTCAACACTGTACTTTCAGCATTGGATATATCATCTAGACAGAAAATAAACAACAAAACAGAAGACTTATTCTGTACTATAGAACAAATTGATTTAATAGACACTTATAGAACATTTCATATAACAGCAGCCAACTTCACATTCTTCTCCTCAGCACATGAAACATTCTCAAAGATAGTATATGTGTTAGGCCACAAAACAAGTCCTGTAAATTTCAAAATAATTACCTTTTCTGACAAAAGTGGAATAAAACTAGAAATCAATAACAAGAGGAAATTTGAAAACTATGTAGACACATGTAAATTAAACAACATTCTCTTGACTGAGCATTGGGACAATAAAGAAATTAAGAAGAAAACTTTTTAAAATATTGAAACAAATAAAAATAAAAACACAGCATGCCCAAATCTATGGGATACAGAAAAAGCAGTAATAAAAGGAATGTTTATAGCAATAAATGCCTACATGAAAATAGTAGAAAAACTTTAAATAACTAATGATGCATCTTAAAGAAGTAGAACAGCAAGAGCAAACCAAACCTCAAATTAGTAGAAGAGAAATAGTAACAATGAGAACAGAAATAAATGAAATTGAGACAAAAAATACAAAAAAATTGCAAATGAAAGAAAAAGTTGGTTTCTTGAAAAGATAAACAAAATTAACAAACATTTTGGTCTGAGTAACTACGAAAAAAAGAGAGAATACCCAAATAAATAAAATCAAAGAGAAAAAGAAGGCATTACAAATGATACCACAGAAATTTAAAAGGATCATTAAAAACTATTATGAGCAACTATATGCCAATAAATTAAAAAACTTAGAAGAAATGTGTAAATTCCTAGACACATAAAACCTACCAAGATTGAACCATAAAAAAATCAGAAACCTGAATAGACTGATAACAAACAAGATAGAACCAATAATAAAAAATATTCTATCAAAGAAAATCCCAGGATCTGATGATTTCTCAGCTGAATTTTAACAAACACTAAAAGATGAAATAAAATCAATCCTACTCAAAAACTATTCCAAAAAGTTGAGAATGAGGGAATACTCTCAAACTCATTTCATAAACTCAAACTCATTTCATCATGCAAGACCAGTATTGCCCTGATGTCAAAATCCAACAAAGATAAAACAGCAGCAACAAACTGTTGTTGGTTTGGTGATCAATATCACCAATCAACATATATGCAGAAACCTTCAACAAAATACTAGCAAACTGAATTCAACAACTATTCAAAAGACCATTAACCATAAAAGGTGGGATTCTTCCCGTAAATGCAAGGATGAGTCAACATATGCAAATTGAAAACTGTGAGAGATCACATCAAAAGAATAAAGAGTAAAATACATATGGTCATTTCTACTGATGCTGATAAAACTTTTGATAAAGTCTACATCTCTTTATGATAAAAACTCTCAACAAACTGGGTGTAGAAGGAACAAATCTCAAAAATCTAAAAATCCATATAAGACAAACCCACGAATATTATCATACTGAAAAACTGAAAGCCTTTCCTCTAAGTTCTGGAACCCAACAAAGATACTCAATTTCATCACTGTTATTCAAAAGAGTACTATAATTCCTAGCTAGAGCAATCAGACAAGAGAAATAAATAAAAGGCATCCAAATTAGAAAGAAGTCAAATTATCCCAGTTTGCTGCTGATATAATCTTATATTTAGAGAAACCTCAAGACTCCATCAAAAAAGACTTAGAACTAATAAACAAATTCAGTAAAATTGCAGGATACAAAATCAACCAACAAAAACCAGTAGCACTGCAATATGTCAACAGCAAACAATCTGAAAAAGAAAAAAAAATTCCATTTATAATAGCAAAAGATAAAATAAAATACCTGGGAATATACTTGGCCAAATAAGTGAAAGCTCTCTACATTTAAAACTATGAGTCATTGATGAAAGAAATTGAAGAGGACAAAAAAAGTAAAGACATTCTATGGTCATGGATAGGAAAAATAAAAATTGTTTTGTTATTATCTTATGCATTTTACTTTTTAATTTTTTTTAACTTTTAATTTAGGTTCAGGACTAAATATGCAAGTGTGTTACATAAGGAAATTGCATGTCACCCGTGTTTGGTATACAAATAATCTTGTTACTAAGGTAATAAGCACAGTAACTGTAGTAACTGATAGGTAGTTTTTCTATTTTCTTTCTCCTTCCACACTCCACACTCAAGTAGACCTGTGTCTGTTTTTCCCAAGTAGAACTGTGTCCATGTGAACTCAACATTTAGCTCCCACTTATAAGTGAGAACATGTGGTATTCGGTTTTCTGTTCCTGCATTACTTGGCTTGGTATAATTGTATACCATTGTATAATACTTGCAGCTCCCTCTATACTGCTGCAAAGGACATGATCTCATTATTTTTTACAGCTGTGTAGTATTCCATAATGTATACATACCACATTTCCTTTCTCCAGTCTACTATTCATGGACATTTTTGTTGATTCCATGTATTTAGTTTTTATGAATAGTATGGAATTAACATAGGTGTACATGTGTCTTTATGATAGAATGTATCAGTCCATTCTTGCACTGCTATAAAGAAATACCCAAGACTGCATAATTTATAAAGAAAATAGGTTTAATTGCCTCACGGTACCATAGGCTGTACAGGAAGCATGATGCTGGCATCTGCTCAGGTTCTGGTGTGATCTCAGGAAATTTAAAATCATAGCAGAAGGTGAAGGGGGAGCAAGGTGCCTCACATGGTGGAAACAGGAGCCAGATACAATGAGGGAGGAGGTGCTGCACACATTTAAACAACTAGATCTTGTAAGAACTCACTATCATGAGAACAGCACCAAGAGGATGACAATAGACCAATCATGAGAAATCCATTACCATGATCCAAGAACCTCCCACCGGGTCCCACCTCCAACACTAGGGACTACAATTCAACATGAGACTTAGTGGGAACACAGATTCAGACAATATCATAGAATGATTTCTATTCCTTTGGGTATATACCCAATAAGCGGATTGCTGGATCAAATGGTACTTCTCTTTTAAGTGCTTTGAGATATCACCACACTGCTTTCCCCAATTGCTGAAATAATTTGCATTTCCCCCAGCAGTGTATAAGTGTTCCCTTTTATTTGCAACCTTGCCAGCATTTGTTATTTTTTGACTTCTTAATAATACTTATTCTGATTGGTGTGAGACGGTATCTCATTGTGGTTTGGAATTCCATTTGCATTTCTACTAATGATTAATGATGGTGAGCATTTTTTCATATGTTTTTGGCCACTTGTATGCACTCTTTTTTGGCTCTGTCAGCAAGGCTGCAGTACAGTGGCACAATCTCAGCTCACTGCAACCTCCACCTCCCAGGTTCAAGCAATTATGCTGCCTCAGCCTCCCAAGTAGCTGAGATTACAGGTGCATGCCATCACACTTGACAAATTTTTGTATTTTTAGTAGATATGGGGTTTCACCATGTTGGCCAGGTTGGTCTCGAACTCCTAACCTTGTGATCCACTTGCCTCGGCCTCCCAAAGTACTGGGATTACAAGCATGAGCCACCACGCCTGGCCATATGCATTACTGTGAAAAGTGACTGTTCATGTACTTTGCCCACTTTTAAATGGGGCTGTTTTTTGCTAGATACTGTGTTTAAGTTCCTTAGAGATTCCGGATCCTAGCTGTTTGTCAGGTGCATAGTTTGCAAACCAACAGCCAACATCATACTAAATGGGCAAAAGCTGGAAGCATTCCCCTTAGAAGTAAAACAAGACAAGGTCGCCCACTGTCATGATTCCTATTCAATACAGTACTATAAGTCCTAGCCAGAGCAATCAGGCAAAGAAATGAAAGGCATCTAAATAGGAGGAGAGGAAGTAAAACTGTCTTTGTTTGCAGATTATGTGATGCTATACCTAGAAAAACCCATAGTCTCTGTTGAAAAGGTCCAAGATCTAATAAAGAACTTCAGCAAAGTTTCAAGATACAAAGTCAATGTACAAAAATCAGTAGCATTTCTATATACCAACAACATCCAAGCTGACAGACAAATCAGAAAGACAATCCCATTCACAATATAGCCACAAAAACAATAAAATACCTAGGAATACACCTAACAGGGGCATGAAATATCTCTACAATGAGAATTACAAACCAGTGCTCAAAAAAATCAAAGATGACATGAACAGATGAAAAAAAACATTCCATGCTCATGGATAGGAAAAATCAATATTGTTATAATGGCCATATTACCCAAAGTAATTTACATATCAGTGCTATTCCTATAAAACTACCAATTACATTATTCACAGAATTAGAAAAAAGTATTCTAAAATTCACATGGAACCAAAAAAAACTCACATAGCCAAGGCAATTCTAAGCAAAAAGTACAAAGTTGGAGACAGCACGTCACCCAATTTCAAACTATACTACAAGCCTATGGTAACCAAAACAGCATGGTACTGGTACAAAAACAGACATATAGACTACTAAAACAGCATAGAGAGCCCAGAAATAAATCCAAACCCCTACAAACATGTGATCTTTGACAAAGTTGACCAACTAGCAATGGGGAAAGGACTATTCAATAAATGATGCTAGGATAACTGCCTAGCCATATGCAGAAGATTGAACCTTGACTGCTTCCTTACACCATATGCAAAAATCAGTTCACAATAGATAAAAGGCTTAAATGTAAAACCTAAAACTATATAAATTCTTGGAGATAATCTAGAAAATACCATTCTGGACATAAGTCCTGGCAAAGATTTCATGATGAAGATGCCAAAAACAATTGCAACGACAACAAAAAACTGGCAAATGGGACCTAATTAAGCTAAAAAGCTTCTGCACAGTAAAAAAAACTATCTATATCGTTTAAAAGTCAGTACTATTCAATGAAATCTGCAGATCCAATGCAATCTCCATCAAAATACCAATAATATCCTTCACAGAAATATAAAAAATATTAAAATATATATGGAATTACAGAGCAAAATAGAACAAAGCTTCAGGCATCACATTACCTGACTTCAAATTATAGTACAAAAATGGATAAAAGGTATGAGCAGACATTTCTTAAAAGAAGACAAACAAATGACCAACAGTTTTATGAAAAAATGTTCAACATCATTAATCATTAGATAGATGCATATAAAAACTACAAGGAGATGTCATCTCACCCAGTTAAAACAGCTTTTATCAAAAAGACAGGCAATAACAAATGCTGATGAGGATGTGGAGAAAGAGAAACTCTTGTACACTGGTGATGAAAATTTAAATTAGAAGAGCTACTATGGAGAACACTGTGGAGATTCCTCAAAAAAAAAAAAAAAAAAAAAGAAACTGAAAATAGAACTACCATACGATCCAGCAAACCCACTGGTGGGCATATATCCAAAAGAAAGGAAATCTGTATATCAAAGAGATATTTGCACTGCCATGTTTGTAACAGTACTATTCACAATAGCCAAAATACAGAATCAACCTAAGTATCCATCAGTTAATAAATGGGTTTAAAAAGTGGCACATATACACATTATAATCACAAAAATGAAATCCTGTCATTTTCAATAACATGAATAGAACTGGAGGACATTAAGTTAAGTAAGACAGGCACAAAGAGACAAATATCACATGTTCTCACTCATATGTGGGAAATAAAAAATACTGAACTCATGGAGATAGAAAATAGAATGATGGTTACCAGAGGCTGGGAATGGTAGTTGGCAGGGAGGATGAAGAGTGGATGGTAAATGGGTACAAAAATACAGTTAGATAGAAGAAATATGATCCAGTGTTTTGTAGCAAAATAAGACAACTATAGTTAACAATTTATTGTACATTTCAAAAAAACTAAAAGAGTGAAATTGGAATGTTTGTAACACAAAGAAATGATAAGTGCTTGAGGTGATTGATGCATAAGCCAATTACCCTGATCTGAACATTACACATTTTATGCTTGTATCAAAATATCACATGTACCCCATAAATATTGATAATGATTGTATATCCATAGTAATTAAAAATAAAATGTTTTTATAAAATTTAACCTGATGGTACTGTAACTTTTTTACTTTTAAACTTTTAAATTTGTTAACTTTTGTGCTCTTTGGTAATAACAGCTTAAAACACAAACACATTGTACAGAATATTTAGTACAGCTGTACAAAAATATTTTCTTTCTTTATATCCTTATTCAATAAGCTTCTTTCTTTTTAAAAACATTTTATTTTTCTTTTACTATTTAATTTTTTTTTGTTAAAATCTGTGACATCAACACACATTTTCCTAGGCCTACACGTGGTCAGTATCATTAACATCAACATGTTCCACTTCCATATCTCATCTCATATCTCATCAAATATATGGAGCTATCATCTCCTATCATAATGTCTACTTCTGAAATAACTCCTGAAGGAATTGCGCTGGGCTGTTTTTACAGTTACCTTTAAAAAAAAATAGTAAGTAGAAGTATATCCCAAATGAATAATAAATAGTATAGTAAGTTCATAAACCAGTAACATATTTATTATCAAGTATTAGATACTGTACATAATTGTATGTGCTATACTTTTACACCACTGCCAGGACAGTAGGTGTGTTTACATCAGCATCACCAAAGACAGATGAGTAAGCCTTGTGCTATGACCGCTATAACCATGTTATGACTGCTACAATGACACCAGGTGATAGTAATTTTTCAGCTTTATTAGAATCTTATGGGACCACCATTGTACATGTGATATAACACTGATCAAAACATAATTATGTGGCACATGACTGTATATGTATTTATGTTTGTATTTGTGTGCATGCATGTGTGTATATATGTTTATATGTGTCTGCGGTTTTTCCCTTTTGGCATTATCTACGTAAGTATTCATTATTGTTCTCCTTTTTGTTTAAACTTCATTTCTATATATTTTTTCCTTTTAGAGTTCATTTATTTCTAAGATGACCAGAAATTTTTTATATCACCTTGTCTAATTTTATTTACAGATTTTTCTAAATTTGATTGATGTTGTTTTTATAATTTCTCTCATTTTCTCTAAATCTTTAGCGGGTTTTGAAATAGTAGGGTAAATTTTTCATGTTTCCTACGTCTGTCCTTTAAGTATGGTTTCATTGTAAGAATGCAATCCTATTTATTATTTTATGGCCATGTGTTTAATACTTGGCCACATCACATACATAGGGAACTACCTATACCTTCATTCAGAACAGAATTGAGGGAGCAAGAGGTAAGATCAGATCTTCAGAACATAGTAAAACATGACAGTGATAGTTTTTATAATTCCACGCATATCCATGTCCTTTTAAGGACAAAATATAAGTACCCGCGAAAAGTAGCTTTGAGTATCTTAACAGATATAAAAAGTATGAAATCTGAAAAGCATGAAATCAAATTTGTTTGAAGAGTTGTGAGATGTCTACAGAAATAAGAATAAATAATTAAAATGTGAATTACATGTGTGCTATGTCAGCCTCTGTAGATTTAAGCTGTTATTGTTTTGGTTTGTTTTATTATGATGCCACCCAAATGATCTGACCTTTTTTTAATAATTTAATTTAATTTATTTTTTAAATTAATTAATTAATTAATCAATCAATTAATTAATTAATTTGAGACAGGGTCTCGCTCTGTCGCCCAGGCTGAATTGCAGTGGCACAATCTCGGCTCACTGCAACCTCCGCCTCCTGAGTTCAAGCGATTCTCCTGCCTCAGCCTCCTGAGTAGCTGGGATTACAGGCATGTGCCATCACGTCTGGCTAATTTTTGTATTTTTAGTAGAGATGGGGTTTTGCCATGTTGCCCAGGCTTCTCTTGAATTCCTGGCCTCATGTGATTCACCCGCCTTGGCTTCCCAAAGTGCTGGGATTACAGGTGTGAGTCACTGTGCCTGGTCTGATCTGACAGTTTTAAAAGAAGCAATTAATAAAATGGATTTCCTTAAACAATTTGAAAACAGGAGACTAATCCTAGGCTGCAGAGTAATAGGCAATTGAAAATACCTGCAAGAGCATATAACAAATAGAAGAAAAAAAATTGAATAGAAAACTGCAAATGTAAAATAGTCTTGTCTTAACTGCAGACTCTTTCCAAGTAAATTCAGATTCCTGAAAAGAATATAAAGCTTTTACAAAGATGTTTAAGCTAAGGATAAATTTCTACGACTATTTTGGAAAGAAACTATACATAATGAATGGTGACCTAGAATCTTCAGCTAATCTCATGGTCACAGTTTGAAGAGGTAAATCAGAAAGAAAATAACATCTTGCATAAACTATTTCTTTAACATTAAAGTTAATTATTCTCTTAAATACATGTTAAATGTCAGCATATTAGAAACTGTGAAGGTATTAAATTTTTATTCATGATATAATTAATAGAAAACTCAAGTTATATTAATAGATAAATGATTATAAGCTATATTATTATTTATATCATTTATAGAAATAAGTTATGTCTACCTGCTCAAAAGATAAAGATGTTGGATAATTGGTTGTTGTGTTAAAGTAAATGTAGGGCCAGGTGTGGTGGCTTATCCCCGTAATCCCAGCCCTCTGAGAGGATTGCTTGAGCGCAGGAGTTGGAGACCAGCCTCGGCAAAACAGTGAGACCCTGCCTCTTCAAATAATAATAATGATAATAACAATAATAATAAGCAAATGTAGAAACACTTAAAAATAATCAGATTTAGGGTGAGGCCAAGATGGCAGACTAGAAGCAGCACATGTGTGCCTCTCTCATGGAGAGGAAACAAAAAGGCTAGTGAACACTAACCCAACAGGCCGATCATCTGAAAAACCACGTCGGGATCCATCAAGGCAGCAGGGGGACACAGAACAGAGGGGAGAAAAGCTGGGTGCTAGCATGTTTGGGCTCAACACGAAGCCAGGAGAACCTCTCTGACATAGGAAAGGGTAAGTAAGGGTGCCCAGGGTGATTCATGCTCTCCACAGGGACCTGTGTAAGACTGGGAATAAGAGAATCCCCCTGGCGCCCCCATACCCCCACTGCACTTCTAAACTGAGGCAAAGAGCCACCTGGATGTTTTGCAGGGGCAACTCACAAGTCCAAGGAAACTTTACAAGCCTTGAGCCCTGCAGCAGACCTATACTGGTGGCCACAACCCCAATAGAGTCACCAATTGTGGTGACTTGGAGCAGTGAGATTGTTGCACCGCCCTTTCCGGATAGGGCTTGGTGGCAGCTTCCAGCCCAGTGGTCCTGCTTAGGCCCAAACTTGCCTGCCCACTCCTGCCACACCCCCACCACTGATAACTACATGGACAACCCCTGCTAGAGCTTCTATCCCAGCCATCCCTTTTTTCTTTTCTTTTCTTTTTTTTTTTTTTTTAGACGTAGTCTAGCTGTCACCAGGCTGGAGTGCAGTGGCAGGATCTTGGCTCACTGCAGCCTCCACCTCCTGGGTTCAATTCTCCTGCTTTGGCCTCCCAACAGCTGGGACTACAGGTGCATGCCACCATGCCCAACTAATTTTTGTATTTTTAGTAGAGACGGGGTTTCACCATATTGGCCAGGATAGTCTTGATCTCTTGAACTTGCGATCCGCCCACCTCGGCCTCCAAAAGTGCTGGGATTACAGGCATGAGCCACCGTGCCCAACCCAGCAGTCCCACTTCTGTGTGAACTCAGTTGGAGGGCACATCTTCCTGTTGTCTCAGAAAACACCCAGACAACAGAGTTGGTGACCACACCGGCCCTCACTACTGGTAACCAGGCAGGCAATGCTTGCTAGAGCTTCTAGCCCGCAGTTCCACTTCTATGTGAACTCATCTGGTAAGCACAACTTCTATGTGAACTCATCTGGTAAGCACATCTTTATATTGTCCCCTAGGAAACATCCAGATGTCAGAGCACATGACACCACCTGGCCCTACCAGAGGTAACCAGGTAGGCAGGCCTGCCACAGCCTCTAGCATGGTGCTCCTGGTTCTGCATGAACTCAGCTGATGAATGCAGCCTCCTGTTGTCCCAGGAAACACCCAGAGTGCAGGGCTCATGACCCCACCCTCCCCCACCATTAATAGCCAAGCAGGCAACACTTGCTAGAATTTCCAGCCTAGCAACCCTGATTCTGTGTAAACTCAGCTAGAAGGCACAGTTTCCTGTGTCTCAGGAAAGGCCTAGACAGCAAGGCAGGCATCCCCACCCATCCCTATTTCTGGTAGCCAGGAAAGCCATGCCTGCTAGAGCTTCCAGCCCAGTGGTCCTACTTCTACCTACTTCTGTCTGAGGGCAGGCACAACCTTGTATTTCCCCAGGAGGCATACATATAGCAGATTAGGGCTGACCTCACAAGGATATAGCTTGTTCGCTAACTCAGGCCCCTGCCTGTGAGAACTCACGAAGCAGAACACCCCACATAAGAAATGTGGGCATGGAGAGTTAGTGGAGGAGGTTCCTCCAAGACCAGGAATGAACTAGAATTGAAGTGAGTAAACCAAACACACCATATACCATAATTAACCCCTCAAGGGTATTAAAAAAGAAAAAAGCAAAAAAAAAAAAAAAAAAAAAATCCCCACAAGGACAGTAACTTCAAGGCTGAACAAACATCAGCCCACACAAATGAGAAAAAACCCAGCACAACAACTCTGGCAACTCAAAAAGCCAGAGTGTTTTTTTACCTCCAAATGATTGCACTCGTTCACCAGCAATGGTTCTTAACCAAGCTGAAATGGCTAAAATGTCAGAAATAGAATTCAGAATAAGAACAGGAATGAAAATCATCAACTTACAGGAGATAGTTGAAACCCAAACCAAGAAATCTAAGGATTACAATAAAACAATACAGGAGTTGAAAAATCAAATGGTCATTATAAGAAAGTACTAAACAGTTCTGAAAGAGCTGAAAAATACACTAGAAAAATTTTATAAAACAGTCTCAAGTATTAACAGCAGTATCAACTGAGTTGAGAAAAGAATTTCAGAGCTTGAAAACTGATCCTTTGAAATAACTCAGAAAGACAAAAATGAAGAAAAAACAATAAAGACTGAATAAAACATCTGAGGAAAAAAATGGGATTATGTAAAAACACCAAATTTATGACTCACTGGCATCCCTGAGAGAGAGGAAGAGAACTAAGCAACTTAAAACACATATTTCAGGATACTGTCCATGAAAATTTTCCCAACCTCACCAGAGAGGCCAACATTCAAATATTGAGGAAATACAGAGAATCCCTCAAAATACTAAATAAGAAGACAATCCTCAAGTCACATAGTCATTAGATTTTCAAAGGTCAAAATGAAAGAAAAAATGTTAAAGAGCACTAGAAAGAAGGGGCAGGTCACATACAAAGGAAATCCCATCGGGCAAACAGCAGACCTGTCAACAGAAACTCTATGAGCCAGATAAAACTGGGGGCCAATATTCAGCATTCTTAAAAGAAAAAAAAATTTCAACCAAGAATTTCATATCCAGCCAAGTAAAGAAGAAATAAGATCCTTTTCAGATAAGTAAATGCTAAGGGAATTCATTGCCAGCAGATCTGCCTTACAAGAGATCCTGAAGGGAGTGCTAAATATGGAAAAGAAAGACCTTTACTGCCCACTACAAAAACACACTTAAGTACATAGACCAGTGACACTGTAAAACAGCCACACAAAGAAGTCTGCATAATATCCAGCTAACAACATGATGACAGAATCAAATTCACACATATCAATGGTAACTTTGAATGTAAATGAGCTAAATGCCACAATTGAAAGGCAAAGAGTGGCAAGCTGGATAAAAATGGGAAACCAAACAGCATGTTGCCTTCAGTAGCACCATCTCACATGCAATGACACCTATAGGCTCAAAGTAAAGGGATAGAAAAAAATCTAGCAAGTGAATGCAAAACATAAAGAGGCAGGGGCTGCTATTCTAATTGGTTTAAAGATACTTTAAATCAACAAAAATCAAAAAAGGCAAAAAAAAATGCATTACCTAATGGTAAAGGCCTTGATTCAACAAGAGGACTTAACTATCCTGCACATATACACACCTAACACAGGAGCACCCAGATTCATAACACAAGTTACGAAGACCTATTAAGATACTTAGATAACCACACAATAACTGTGGGATACTTTAACACATTATTGACAGGATTAGACAGTATTAGACAGATCATCAAGGCAGAAAACTAACAAAGGTATTTGTGACCTGAACTCCACACCAGACAAAATGGTTCTAATACACATCAACAGGACTCTTCATCCAAAAACAGAATATACACTATTATCATTGCCACATGGCACATACTGTAAAATTGTCCACAGAATTGGGCATAAAACAATCCTCAGCAAATTCATAAAAAACAAAATCATACCAACCAGGATCTCATACCACAGTGCAATAAAATAGAAATCAATGCTAAGAAAATCACTCAATACAATAATATGGAAACTTAAAAACTTGGCTTTTGAATGACTTTTGGGTAAATAATGAAATAAAGGCAGAATTCAAAGAATTATTTGAAATTAATCAGAAAAAAAAATACAACACACCAGAATCTCTAGTACAAAGCCAAAGTAGTTTTAAGAGGGAAGTTTATAGCACTAAACACCAACATTAAAAAGTTAGACAGATCTCAAATTGACAACCTAATATCACAATTAGAGAAACAAGAGCAAACCAACTCCAAGACTAGCAGAAGACAAGAAATAACCAAAGTTAGAGCTGACCAGAGGAAACTGAGATGCAAAAAATCATACAAGAGATCAGTGAATCTAGGAGCTGATTCTTTCAAAATATTAATGATAGATAGACCTCTAGCTAGACTAATAAAGGAGAAAAAGAGAGATGATCCAAATAAATACAAGCAGAAAAGACAAAGAGGATGTACAGTTGACCTTACAGAAACACAAAAAAACCCTCAGAGATTATTATAAAAACCTCTGTGTACACAAGCTAGAAAATTTAGAGAAAATGGATAAATTCCTGGAAACATACAGCCTCCCAAGTTTGAACCGGTAAGATATTGAATCCTTGAACAGATCAATAATAAGTTCCAGAATAGGATCAGTAATAAAATGCCTACCAACCAGAAAAAGTTCAGGGCCAGAATAATCCATAACCCACTTCTACGAGATAAATAAAGGAGAGGTGGTAACATTCCTACTGAAACTATTCCAAAAAATTGAGGAGGTGAGAATCCTCCCTAACTCTACGAGGTCAGCATCATTCTGATACAAAACTTGGCAGAGACATAACAAAATAACAGAAGTTCAATATTCCTCATGAACATAAGTGCAAAAATCCTCAATAAAACACAAGCAAACCAAATTTAGTAGCAATTCAAAAAGTTAATCCACAAGGATCAGTTAGGCTTTATCCCAGTGATGCAAAGTTGGTTCAACATATGCAAATCAATAAATGTACTTCACCACATAAACAGAACTAAAAGCAAAAACCACATAACCATCTCAACAGATGTAGAAAAGGCTTTCAATAAAATTTAATATCCCTTTATGTTAAATACCCCCAACAGACTAGGCATTAAAGGGACATACCTCAAAACAGTAAGAGCCATCTATGATAAACCCATTGCTAACATCATACTGAATGGCAAAAGCTGGATGCATTCCCCTTGAAAACTGGAACAAAACAAGGTTGCCCTTTCTCACCACTCCTACTCAACATAGTGCTAGATATCTTAGCCAAAGTAATCAGGCAAGACTAAGAAACAAAAGGCATCCAAATAGGAAGAGAAAAAGACAAACTATCCCTGTAATTCATACAATATGTTTCTATACCTAGAAAACACCATAGTCTCTGCCCCAAAGCTCCTAGATATGATAAACTACTTCAGCAAAGTTTCAGGATACAAAATCAATATATAAAAATCAGTAGCATTCATATACAACAGAAACATCCAAGCTGAGAGCCAAATCAGGAACAAAATTCCATTCACAATTGCCACAAAAAGAATAAAATACCTAGGAATACAGCTAACCGGCAAGGTAAAATATCTCTACAACGAGAATTACAAGATGCTACTTAAATAAAACACAGATAACACAAACAAATGGAAAAACATTCCATGCTCATAGATAGGAAGTATCAATATTGTTAAAATGCCCAAAGCAATTGACATATTCAATGCTATACACATCAAACTACTAAAGACATTCTTCACAGAAGTAAAAAAAAAAAACAAAAATTAAAAAACTCCCAAAGCAATTTGCATATTCTGTGCTATACATATCAAACTACCAAAGACATTCTTCATAGAACTAAAAAAACAAAAACAAAAAAACTATCTAAAAATTCACATTAAACTATAAAAGAGCCTTAATAAAAGCCTAAGTAAAAAGAAAAAAGCTGAAAGCATCACATTGCCCAACTTCAAACTATACTACAAGGCTATAGTAACCAAAACAGCATGACACTGGTACAAAAACAGACACATAGACCAGTGGAACATAATAGAGAGCCCAGAAATAATACCACACACTTACAACCATCTGATCTTCAACAAAATTAAGCAAGAGGGAAGGGACTCTATTATATAAATGGTGCTGGGATAACTGTCTAGTCATATGCAGAAGATTGAAACTGGACCCTTTCCTTACGTCATATACAAAAATCAACTCAAGATGGATTAAGGACTTATATGTAAAGCCCAAAACTATAAAAACCCTGGAAAATAACCTAGGAAGTACCATTCTGGACATAGGACCTAGCAAAAATTTCATTATCAACACACCAAAAGCAATTGCAACAAAAACAAAAATTGACAAATGGGATGTAATTAAACTAAAGAGTTTTTGCACAGGAAAAGAAACTATCAACAGAATAACAGACAAGACAACCCACAGAATAGGAGAAAATATTTGCAAACTACTAATCCAACAGAGGTCTAATATCCAGAATCTATAAATAATGTAAACAAATTTACAAGCAAAAACTAAACAACCCCATTAAAAGATGGGCAAAGGACATAAAGAGACACTGTTCAAAAAAAGACATACACATGGCCAACAAGCATATAGGAAAATGCTCAACATCACTAATCTTTAGGGAAATTCAAATCAAAACCACAATGAGAAAGCATCTTATACCAGTGAAAATGAGTATTATTAAAAAGTCACAAAATAACAGATGTTTGTGAGGCTGTGGAGAAAAGGGAACACTTATGCACTGCTTGTGGGAATGTAAATTAGTTCAGCTATGTGGAAAGCAGTATGGGAATTTCTCAAAGAACCTAAAACAGAATTACCATTCAACCCAGCAATCCCATTATTGGGTATATACCCAAATGAATATAAATTATTCTAACACAAAGACAATAGCATGCAAATGTTCACTGCAGCACTATTCATGATAGCAAAGACATGGAATCCACCCAAATGCTCATCAATGGTAGAGTGGATAAAAGAAAATATGGTACCTATACACAATGGAATACTATGCAGCCATAAAAAAGAATGAGATCATGTCCTCTGTTGCAACATAGATGGAGCTGGAGGCCATTATCCTAAGTGAAGTAAAGCATAAACAGAAAACCGGATATCGTACGTTCTCACTTATAAGTGGGAAATAAACTTTGAGTACATATGGACACAAAGAAGGGAACAACAGACACGGGGGCCTACTTGAAGGTGGAGGGTGGGAGGAGGAAGAGGGTAAAAAAAAAAACTACCAATAAGGTACCATGCTTATTACCTGGGTGACAAAATAATCTGAACACCAAACCCCTGAGACACAAAATTTACCTATATATGTACCTATACATGCACACCTGGAAGTTACCTGCAAATGTACACCAAAACTTAAAATAAAAGTTAGAAGTAAATGTGTTTCCATATATTTGTTAAAAACAGGAATTAGTATTAAGTGTTTTATAGAAACTTAGAAATATCATGCATCTAAGAATAAAACTAATAAAGATATGCAAGAATTCTACACAAAATCTATAAAATATTGTTGAAAAAGAAGAAGACCAATAAATTGATATTTATTTTCATTGATTAGAAGGCTATATTTTAAGGATTTTAATTCTCCTTAAATGTATCAAAAAAAGCCATGATTGCAATAAAATCCCTAAAAGATTGTGTGTGTGCGTGTGTGTGTGTGTGTGTAGAACTTAACAAGTTGATTGAGTGCGATTGTAGAACTTAACAAGTTGATTTCATCATATCTATGGATATTCATAGGGCCAAGAATAATCAAGACAATCTTAAGTAAGAAGAAAAAGATGGAAGATTCCCACTCTCTGAAATGAAGACATCTTATCAAGTAATAAAGAGTGTATGACACTGGCAGAGGATAGACTGGTTAACCAGACTAATGGAACAGAAACCAGAGACTGACCCAAACATAGAACAAATAGGGGGATCTGATTTATGGCACTATATCATTTTGGGATACTGCAGGAAAAGGCTAAACTTTTCAATAAACAGTACTGAATCTGCTGAATGTCTAAATAGAAAAAGTAAGACACACCACTCTGACATTTCATCATAACAAAAAAAATTCCAAGTGGATTGTATATCTAAATGTAAAATATGATTTTAGAGATCACAGAAAGACAAGCAACAGACTGGGCTTCCTCCCCACCACCACTGGCAACCACTGATTTTATTATCTCCACACTTTTACCTTTTCCAGAATGTCATATAGTTGGAATTATACTGTACATAGCCATTTCAGATTGGCTTCTTTCACTTCATAATATTCATTTAAGATTCCTCCATATCTTTTCATGGCTTGACAGCTCATTTTGTTTTAGTGCTGAATATTTCACTGTGTGCATGTATCACCACAGTACCACAGTGTATTTCTCCATTCACCTACTGAAGGGCACCTTGGTGTGGACATAACTTTTCACTCCTTTGTGTAGATACCAAGGATTGTGATTTCTGAATAATATGGTAGAAATATGTTTAGTTATGGAATAAACTACAAAACTCTCTTACAAAATGGCTGTACCATTTTGCATCCTCACAAGTAAGGAATGAGAGTTCCTATTGTTATACATCCCTTTTGGAATTTGATGTTCTCAGTGTTTTGGATTTTGGCTATTCTAATAAGTTTGTAATGATACTGCACTGTTATTTTTATTTGTGAGTCTCTACTTACAGCTGTTCATATGCTTATTCACCATCTGTATATCTCCTTTCTTGAGATGTCTTCTGCCTATTTTTTAAATCAGGTAATTCACTTGCTTATTGTTGAGTTTTAATAGTTCTTTCTATATTCTGGATAATAATCCTTTATCAGGTGTCTTTCTCATTGTGTAACTTGTCTTCTCATTCTCTTGACAATATATTTTGTCAAGCAGAATTTTTCAATATATTCCAGCTTATCTATTACTTTGCACGAATTGTGTCTTTGGTGTGGTATCTAAATAGTCATGTCACTCTCCACAACAAAAAAAAGAGAATTTTAGACCAATATCCCTGATGAACATCAATGCAAAAATCCTCAATAAAATACTGGCAAACCGGATCCAGCAGCACATCAAAAAGCTTATCTACCACAATCAACTTGGCTTCATCCCTGGCATGCAAGGCTGGTTCAACATAGGGAAATCAATAAACGTAATCCATCATATAAACAGAACCAAAGACAAAAACCACATGATTATCTCAATAGATGCAGAAAAGGCCTTCGACAAAATTCAACAGCCTTCATGCTAAAAACTCTCAATAAACTAGGTATTGATAGGACATATCTCAAAATAATAAGAGCTATTTATGATAAACCCACAGCCAATATCATACTGAAGGGGCAAAAACTGGAAGCATTCCCTTTGAAAACAGGCACAAGACAGAGATGCCCTCTCTCACCACTCCTATTCAACATAGTGTTGGAAGTTCTGGCCAGGGCAATCAGGCAAGATAAATAAATAAAGGGTTTCAGTTAGGAAAAGAGGAAGTCAAATTGTCCCTGTTTGCAGATGACATGATTGTATCTTTAGAAAACCCCATCGTCTCAACCCAAAATCTCCTTAAGCTGATAAGCAACTTCAGCAAAGTCTCAGAATACAAAACCAATGTGCAAAAATCACAAGCATTCCTATACACCAATAACAAACAAACAGAGGGCCAAATCATGAGTGAACTCCCATTCACAATTGCTACAAAGACAATAAAATACCTACGAATCCAACTTACAAGGGAGGTGAAGGACCTCTTCAAGGAGAAATACAAACCACTGCTCAAAGAAATAAAAGAGGACACAAACAAATGGAAGAACATTCCATGCTCATGGATAAAAAGAATCAATATTGTGAAAATGGCCATACTGTCCAAGGTAATTTACAGATTCAATGCCATCCCCATCAAGCTACCAATGACTTTCTTCACAGAAATGGAAAAAGCTACTTTAAAGTTCATATGGAACCAAAAAAGAGCCCATATTTCCAAGACAATCCTAAGCCAAAAGAACAAAGCTGGAGGCATCATGCTGCTACCTGACTTCAAACTATACTACAAGGCTACAGTAACCAAAACAGCATGGTACTGGTACCAAAACAGAGATATAGACCAATGGAACAGAATAGAGTCCCTGGAAATAATACCACACACATCCACAACCATCTGATCTTTGACAAACCTGACAAAAACAAGAAATGGGGAAAAGATTCCCTATTTAATAAATGGTGCTGGGAAAACTGGCTAGCCATATGTAGAAAGCTGAAACTGGATCCCTTCCTTACATCTTATACAAAAATTAATTCAAAATGGATTAAAGACTTAAATGTTAGACCTAAAACCATAAAAACCCTAGAAGAAAACCTATGAAATACCATTCAGGACATAGGCATGGGCAAGGACTTCATGACTAAAACACCAAAAGCAATGGCAACGAAAGCCAAAATTGACAAATGGGATCTAATTAAACTAAAGAGCTTCTGCACAGCAAAAGAAACTACCATCAGCGTGAACAGGCAACCTACAGAATGGGAAAAAATTTTTGCAATCTACCCATCTGACAGAGGGCTAATATCCAGAATCTACAAAGAACTTAAACAAATTTACATGAAAAAATCAAACAACCCCATCAAAAAGTGGGCAAAGGATATGAACAGAAACTCCTCAAAAGAAGACATTTATGCAGCCAACAGACTCATGAAAAAATGTTTATCATCACTGGCCATCAGAGAAATGCAAATCAAAACCACAATGAGATACCATCTCACACCAGTTAGAATGGCAATCATTAAACAGTCAGGAAACAACAGGTGCTGGAGAGGATGTGGAGAAATAGGAATGCTTTTACACTGTCGGTGGGACTGTAAACTACTTCAACCATTGCGGAAGACAGTGTGGCAATTCCTCAAGGATCTAGAACTAGAAATACCATTTGACCCAGCCATCCCATTACGGGACATATAACCAAAGGATTATAAATCCTGCTGCTATAAAAACGTAGACACACGTATGGTTATTGTGGCACTATTCACAATAGCAAAGACTTGGAACCAACCTAAATGTCCATCAATGATAGACTGGATTAAGAAAATTTGGCACATATACACCATGGAATACTATTCAGCCATAAAAAAGGATGAGTTCATGTCCTTTGTAGGGACATGGATGAAGCTGGAAACCATCATTCTAAGCAAAGTATCGCAAGGACAGAAAGCCAAACACCACATGTTCTCACTCATAGGTGGGAACTGAGCAATGAGAACACTTGGACACAGGGTGGGGAACATCAGACACCAGGGCCTGTCGTGGGGTGGGGGGAGGGAGGAGGGATAGCATTAGGAGATATACCTAATGTAAATGACACTCTGTTTTCAGGCACATACACAGTAAGAATCAATATGTATTTTTGGAGAATTGACTCCTTTATTATTATGTAATGCCCTTCTTTTTTCCCTGATAAATTACTTTGAAGTCTGCTTTGTCTGATGTTAATGTAGATACTCCCTCTTTCTTTTTATTAGTGCTAGCAGATTTCTTCTCTTTACTTGCTTCATTCCTTTACTTTTAATTTACTGTGACTTTATATTCGAAGTGAGTTTCTTGTATACAAGATATATTGTTTTTTGATATAATCTGATTTCTGTCATTTAATTGGTGTCTGTAGACTACTGATGATTAAAGTAATTTTTATTTAGTTGCATTAATATAGATGATGTTTTTATTTTTTATTTAGTGCTTATGATTTCCCTCCTTTTTTATGTCTTCCAGACTTTTTCTAACTTTTATAATTTTAACCAAGCATTTTACATAGTTCTATTTTCTCTCTTTCTTAGCATATCCATTATACTTCTTTAATTTTTCATGTGTGTGTGTGCAGGGGTGTTTGTGTGTGTGTGTGGTTGCTCTAGAGATTACTATATACTTTCCAACTAATCCATGTCCACTAATTAAAAAAACAACAACAACACTACCACTTCTGGTGTAATACAAGGGCAAGTGTATGCCCATGAAGTGGGTAATATCCATAATGCCCAGTTCATGATCATACATAATCAGATGCATTGTTTTTATAATTACTTTGGATGAACTTTTATTTGGTAGATCAATTAAAGGGAAGATAAATCATATTTTTATTTTACCTTCAATTATTTCTTCACCATGCTCTCCCATTCTTTATGTAGATGTTAATTATTGACTTATAACATTTCCCTTCTCTCTGCAGAACTTCTAACATCTCTTGCAAGGAAGGTGTACTGGCAACAAATTCTCTCAATTTTTTTTGGTTTGAGGAAGTTTTCATTTCTCCTTCACTTTTGAAGAATAATCTTGCAGAATACAAATTCTAGGATGGAGAAGTTGTTGTTTGTTGGTTTTGTTTTGTTTTCTCTCAACACTTTAAATCTTCACTCTACTTCTTGCTTGCTTGGTTACTAAGAACTCAGTTACTCATCTATAGATAAGGTGTCTTTTTCTTCTGACTTTTTTCAAAACTTTATATTTGTCTTTATTTTTCTGCAGTTTGAATATGATACTTCCAGGCATAGTTTTGTATTGCTTTTAATTATCCTGCTCAGTGCTCTCGGAGCTTCCAGAATCTGTTGTCTGATGTTAATTTTGAAAAATTCTTGTCATTATTGTTTCAGGTATTTCTTTTGTTTCATTCTCTCTTTCTTCTTCATTTAATATTTTCATTATTCGTATGTTACACCTTCTGTAGTCCCATAGTTCTTGGATAATTTTATTTTGGTTTTTTCTTCACCGTGTTTTTCATTTTGTAAGTTTTGTTAACAGATTCTCAAGCTTAGGGATTTTCTCCTCAGCCTTATCCAATCTACTAATAATGAGGCCATCAAAGGCATTCTTCATTTCTGTTACAGTGTTTTCGATCTCTTGAATTTCTTTTTGATGATTTCTTAGAATTCTCATTTCTCTGCATACATTGTCCATCTATTCTTGCATATTGTCTACTTTTTCCATTAGAGCCCTTAACATATTCACTAAAGTTTTTTAAATTCATGATTTGATAATACCAACATTGTTGTCATAGTTGAGTCTGGTTGTGATGCTTGCTGTATCTCTTCAAATTGCATTTTGCCATTTAGTATATTTCACAGCTTTGTTGACAAGCAGGTATATATCTTTTTTGTTGACAGGCAGATGTGTGTACACACACATACACACATATACATGGTATATATGGTATATATGTATACATACATATATACATGGTATACATACATGTACATACATATATACATGGTATAAATGGTGTATATGTGTGTATATATATACAGTTTCTTTTACCATGTGTATATACATTCACATATATAATGTGTGTGTGTGTGTATTCTTTTTACACACACATGGTAAAAAGAACTGTGGTACCTAGGCCTTTAGTAATGTAAGTGGTAAGATGTGGGTGGAAGGGAAGCATCCTGTAGTCTTATGATTAGATTTCTGTCTTTTAGTGAGTCTGTGCTCTTGCACTATGAACTTCATAAATGCTTTCATTTTTCTTTTTGTTGGTTTTGTTTTCATTTTTCAAACCCTTCCTTCGTATGGAATAACTAGAGTTGACTGGAATTGTGTATTTACTTTCCCCTGATTTGGTCAAGGTCTAACAAAACCCCCTAGGTTAGGCTCTGGGAAAATAGTTTCTCTTGAGGGTAGGCCTTATTAAGTATAACAAAATACTGTCTTCCCCTTACCTGGTAAGAACCATAAAATAATTTTACTCTGTTTTTCACTGTGAGAAACTGGGACTGCTCCTGGGAAAGCTCCGGAAAGTAAAACTCACAAAAGTGTGGGAACCCCCAAGGACTTTGTCTGCCTGCAGTTTTGATCTCTCAGGCTTATCTGCATTAAGCCATCAGCAATACAGTTACAGTTTATATTTTCCTACTTGAGTACTGGTTACCATACAGGTTTCTGCTTGTGAGCCTCTGTTCTGCTAAACTGTGATTCTCTTTATCTGTCTATCTGCCTCTCTAATTTTGGATATAGTGGTTTGTCCTGACACATACTTCTCTGACATATCTAAGAGTTGTTGATTTTTCAGTCTGTTAAATTTTTTAGTTGTTGTTAGAATAATGTGGTAACTCTGAAGCAACTTACAGATTGAATTAGAATCTCTCATGTTTTTAACAGACTTGTATAGGTACCCTTCAGTTCTTGTGTGGTTTGGGGCTTTCTTTTTTCTAATTCTTTAATTTTTATTCTTAATTTTCTTCTACTTTATTCTAATTCCTGTCCTTTCCCCAATTTCTGGAGATGAACACTTAGCTCATTTCTTCAACATTTTCTTTTCTAATATATACATTTTAAGACTACAAATAAATCATAAAGCATGACTATAATACTTCTCATAAGTTTGGATAGTTTATATAATCATTGTACAATACTCAATTCATATATATATACATATGAATATCTGGAGACAGAGTCTCGCTCTGTCACCCAGGCTGGAGAGGTGTGGTGAAATCTCGGCTCACTGCAACCTTTGCCTTCCAGGTTCAAGCCATTATCTTGCCTCAGCCTCCCCAGTAGCTGCAGTTACAGGTGCACCTCACCACGCCTAGCTGATTTTTATATTTTTAGTAGAGATGGGGCTTCTCCACATTGGCCAGGCTGGTCTCTAACTCCTGACCTCAGGTAATCTGCCCACCTCGGCCTCCCAATGTGCTGGGATTACAGGCGTGAGGCTCTGCACTCAGCCTCAATTCAAAATATTTTAAATGTCCACTGTGCTTTCAGTGTATCTCTTGATTTCTGAATCTGTAAGGATTTTCTAGTTATATATTCTTCTTGATCCCTAGTTGAATTGCATAATTGTCAGTAGAAATATTCAGTATGATATTCATCTCTTGAAATGTATTGTGGCTATGTTTATGGCTTATTATTGGGTATATAGTTGAAAATACTCCACTTATACATAAAACTAACGTGTTCTGCAGTTGTTTTCTCTTGATTCTATATATACCAATTGGATCCATTTGTCCTACTCTATATCTTAACTGATATTTTGCTTGCTTATTCTATGTGTTTCAACCAGACGGAAAATTAAAAAGGAAATACATGACTGGAACAACAGTATATACCAACTACACCTAACACATATCTATAGAGTACTCCAGCCAATAACAGCAGAATGCACAGTTCTTCTCAAGTACACATGAAGCATTCCTCAGAATATGCCACATGTTAGCTATAAAGTAAGTCTCAATAAATTTAAAAAAGGATTGAAATAATACAAAGTATGCTCACCAACCACAATGGAATGATATTATAAATTAATATCAGGAAATAATTTGGGAAATATACAAATATATAGAAGTTAAAAACAAACTCCTAAATCACCAATGAGTCAAAGAAGAAATCAAAAGGGAAATTAGAAAATACTTTGGTTTCAATGAAAACAAAACACATACCAAAGCAGTTTAAGATCAATGAAAACAAAAACACAACACACCAACATATTGGTTGACCCTAAAGCCGTGCTGAAGGGCATGTATAGCTGTGAATATTTATATTAAAAAAGAGGAAAATTTTCAAATCAATATCCTAACTTCTCATCTTAAGAAAATACACATAAAAAAGGACACTAACCCAAAGCAAGCAAAAATAAATAAATAAATAAATAAAAAGGGAATGGTAAAGATTACATCAGAAACAAACAAAATTAAGAATAGAAAAACAATAGAAAAAGTGAATGAAGCCAAAACTTGGTTTTTTGAGAAGATGAATAAAATTGATAATGACAATGAGAAACTGTCTTTGTCTATTAATATAACCGAGAGAACTGAACACATTTATTCATATAAAATCCTGTACTTGAATGTTCATAGCAGTAGTATTCATTACAGCCAGAGTAGAAACATTCCAAATGTCCATCAAGTGATATATGAATAAACAAAATGTGGTGTATTCACACAAATGAATATTATACAGTCATAAAGAGAAATTAAGTGCTGATACATGCTCCAACATGGATGAAACTTTAAAACATTAAGTGAAAGAAGGCAGAAACAGAAGATCATATATTATATAATACTACTTATACTATATATATGTACATATGAAAGGTCCAGAATATACAAATCCCTAGAGACACAGACTATATTATTGTTGCCAGAGGCTGTGGAGAGATGAGACTGGGAAGCGACTGCTCCTTGGCCTGAAGTTTTGTTGTGAGGTGATGGAAATGTCCCAAAATTAAATAGCGGTGATTTTGCACAATCTTGTGAGTACATTAAAAACCAGTAAATTTATACTTGAAAATAAATTTATACTATCTGAATTATATCTCAATCAAAAAGAAAGACATCTATGATAATTTTTATAGTGGCATTACTTGTTATTGTTCTAACACAAAAGCAACCCAAATGTTTATTCATGGTGAAAGAATAAATAATTTGTCATACAGTCACACAACAGAAGAATATGATGATGACAATAAGTACACTACTACTAAACTCAGTAGTATGAAATGAATCTCACTAAAATACGCTGAGTAAAAGTATGTGACACAAGAGGATTCATGCTGTATGAATCAATTTGAATAAAGTTTAAGGTAATCAAGATTAATCTTTAGAATCTGAAGTCAAGATAGAGTTTATATTTGAATAAGTGAGATAGACAAGTGCTTGGGAGAGAGTTGGAGGGGTACAGGTAATGTTCTATTTCTTGACTTGAGTGGTAGTTACAAAAAATACATACTTTAATCATTCATTAAGTTATATGCTTAAAATTTCTGCAATTTTCTATTGTGGATATTACCTCTTTAACATAAGTTCTAAATAATAAAAAATTACCTAAATGAATGTCCCTCATCAATATGTTGATTTGCCCAACTTTGTTTTTGCCTATAGTGTTCTAGTTTTGTGCTGCCGTAGTGTATGCACTTTGTAAGCCAATACCCGATAAAAGATTCAGTAAGAAGCAGTGATTTTCTACTGAATATTCCTCCCTATCCCCTACTTCATCTTTTTAAAGAGTTGAAACTTACTTTACTTTTTTTTTTATTATGCAACAGAGCTTCTTTCAAATGGTCCTTCTAGAATAAGATCAGATATCCCACAAATAAATATACCCATCCTATATCCTAAAATACAAAAAAGCAGAAATGTGAAGAATGAGCTATTACTTAAAATAATATATTTTTTAAAAATATAAATATTTGAAGGTGATCCTCCCCAGCTTTTCCAAGAGACTTACTCTTTTTCTCCCTGTAACACCATATGTGATCTAATTTTGAAAAAAGGTATCAGTTTTTGTAGGTTAACATCCTATAGGGAGACTTTCCTGTCTCTTGAAAGAAAGAAAAGTATTTCCATTTTGAAAAGAAGATCATTTACATATTTCAATTTGGCTCCCAAATTCTATACTGTGTATATGAGCCCAAGTCCATGTTGGGCATCAATATTTAATCTAGTCTGGTTTGGATGGCTTCTGATATTAGCAAGTCCAGAAGCATAAGAATATCTAGATCTTGCCCAAACACCTTGTCTCTCCACAAGGGTCCCTAGAGAGAGGTATAAAAGAAACATTAGAACATTAGACTGATAGAAAAAAAGGAGTTAGTTATATCCATATAAATATTCAATAAAATAAATTTTAGAGAATTAAAAAACATGGATAAAAACTGTGGCGTAGATCTTGAAACTTAAGAATGTTCTTCTATCACTTCCTGAACTTAATTTGGAATTTCATGCTTTTATAGTCACCTGTATAGTGAAAGATACCTGAAAGAGACAGAACTTTTCAGGCGATATATTGGCTTAGTAGTCCAGTCACATGTATTAAGAAAGAGAAAAGAGTAGGTAATTATGTGTAATAAGTTTGTCAACTGATAAATAAGGATTAATTAATGAGCCAGCTACTAATAAAAAAAGAAGAGTTATGTTGCCTGCCTTGGGGGTGGAGGAGTTTTATTTTGCTCCTCTAATAAGTGCTATGCTAGTAAAGTAGAGAGGGAAATGGGAGTACTGAGAGTTCAAAAGACTGTGCTTGAAAATAGATAAGCAAGAATCAGTCAGATTAAAATTAAGGGAGAGTATTCTAGGCACTGAGAATAGTTTATCTATAATAGCTCATGTATTGCAGATGCCGGGGTGGGAAGTTTCATTCTACAGCAATTCACACTTTTTCTGGCACTTGTATCTTGATTTTTCCTTGAAAAACAACCTCTACCTTTCTCGGTCAAGGATATTTTTGCTTAACGTTTGAATATGTTACCTAACCCCAGCTAATCAGCAAATCTCATTACCTTGGTTACAATGATTGGTTAAGAAAAAGAACATCACATAAACAGAACCAATAAAACTTACACTGAGAATTCTGAAACAAAAACCTATTCCTGGCTACCTATACCTATAATATCTTTTTTCTAGGAGGTAATTAAATGCTTTCACCATATATTTTTTCATAAACCAGTTGGAAGATTTGTTCCACCTGTACAGTACACAGCCTTCTATCTGTTAAAAGGTTAAAGCTTTTAGTGAGGCAGGAACTATCCTGACAGTTTTAAAAGAGTTGAAACAAGACCAATTAATTTCCAGTATATTGACAAAGGGAAATAGTAGCACAAGAAAAGTTTTAAAGAATACACAAGGACCAGAATGCAAGGAATCCTAGGACACGGTAAATATTTATACCTGATTTTAAGAGTAATGGAAGGCCATGAAAGGTTTTTAAGGAGAAGAATGATATGATCAAATAGGCATTTACCAATATCTTTTTAATTAAAATCAAAATAAATATTAAAACTTGGATTACCATATAACTGATGGCCTTTTGCCAATTGCAATCTATACAATATAAATGTCATTTGTATACAAACTATATATAAAATGTTAGTGACTAGAGTGGTGAATAATACTAGGCTTCTAATGCTTCCTATGGTAATTCAGTAAAATAATAATGTGTCAAAACAATCTAGTTATAATTCTAAGATTTGCCTTGCATTCAAATTGAGGCATGTCTTTGATTAACAAAGATTTGCTGGAACTACTATTATAAAGGTTTACTTTAACTTCAAGGAATTAATATTGGCTGCCACTAGCACATGTACAAAGTTGAAATTAAATGTAAATCAAAATTGTGATGCCCTACAATACCATTAGACATGGCTTCCTGAAATAAGAAAATTCCACTGGAGATACTGATTGTAAAAACAAAAAATGAATTATGACTGATATTCACTGAATGCAAAAAAAACAATAATTATATCTGCCACTTCAGTGATATTGCCTTCGCAACTCAAATGTGCTATTAGTGTTTGGCAAAACTTTAAAATAAGGATTTTTAAAATATCTAAGGTGATGTAAATATAAATGGGTTAACAAAATCTGATGGAATATCATTGTACAAATTATGAATCTCTCTCAGAAGTTAAGGTGTTTTCTCTACTACAGTTAAGAATGCCACTAAGAAGATAAATTTCCTTCTCATTTGGATTCAATTGTTTCATTCAGGGCAACTACAATTTAGTTCAGAGCATTCTGTGAACTCCAAAATATGACAAGACCATGAGACAAAACCAACACTTAATTATACATATTTCCTCTGGGCAAACCTGCAAAATAATCTGACTTTAACAAATTCAGATCCAAATGTATGTGTAACTCAGATTTGAGTACACATGCACTTGGGAGATACATATATGTCAAAAGTATCGTGAGGGTATTTAATTTGTTCTACTTTTGAAAGTGTAGATTTTTTAAAATTATATTTTTACTCTATTGTTTTATTATATATATTTTTAAAATTATATTATGGGGCATATTTCCAAATGTACTATGAGTAAGTCAATTCTAAGCACTTGACAGGTTAGTTGAATTTAACAATAAATTCAGAAATGTCTTTAAAATAGTTAATTATTCCTCATTAAAACTTGTTAGTGTTTTGTTTTCAACTGTGAGTTCATAATTATGAGTAACTTAAAAAAGAAATACTAGTTCATAAAGAAATTGTCCTTGAAAACCTGAAATACAAGTATTTCACTAAAAACACAAGTAATTTTCAGTTCATTCTTAAGATAACTGGTCTTTGGAAAATCAGAAATACTTTATAATAAATAAAAATCATTTTCAAACATGCTTTCACCTTTGAAATATTAGATTTTATTTGACATTTTCTCAGTGGATCTATAACAATATTGAGAACATGAAAATGACAATATTAAATCACTTTAAAATTTTTATTTTTACCAACTATAAATTCCTATTTGAAATTTAAAAGATAAAATGTTAAAAGAATACATTTATTGAAATGGCTGTACATGTAAGCAGGTAACTACACAGCAGACGTGGCAATATGTGTGGAGAGAAGGGTGAAAGTAGAAACAGTGGCTCAAGGCATATCTATGTACATTAGCTTTTACTGGAATGCTTATCAGAAAAGTTAAGATTCTACTTATTTATTAAGGCACTTGGGCACAAAAGATTTAATATTCTTTAATGAATGAATCTCTATTTTCAACTAAGATAACTTGCTATTATCACGCACCAAAAAAAATTAGAATGAACAAAATTTAAATAAATTAAATCCATAGGATTGTATATTTTTGTAAACTGACTGTCTTTTTTTTTTTTACAGCAAATGCTGGAAATAAGCAATTTCTACTAAGAAGGCAGATTATTGTGTAATTAAGCCATAGCTATAATTCATCTAGACATCTGATGTTATGTCCTATTAACTACTTACATACATGAAAGAACTCTGTTTCCTGATATTATCTTGAAAGATTATGTAAGCATTATCAAATATTGTTCAAATATTTGAACAGTTTTACAGATTAGCTTTCCTAAATTAAGATGTAGACTAGATTATCCAGAACAAGATGTCAAGGCCAGGCACACTTAATACACTTTCCAGTCTTGTTGTCTGGTAAACCTTTTTAACAACTTTCTGCTTCTGATACATGTTTTGGTAAATACTTACCTAGTATAAGAATCTATGTGAAACTCATATGCCAACTCTAATTCATTGGCTCTCTGAATCAAGTATTTACCAAAATACATGTTATTAAAAATGGAAAAGCACATTTTTAAAATATTTACTATAGGTTTTATATAAGATACTTTTTATGAACCAAAATTTTAGTTAGAAGCATTGAGAATATGAAAATCTGAAAGTCATAAACACAATACAGATAAATTGTGTGGGTGTATATATATTTGTGTGAATATATGTATTTAAAGTGTTCAAAATATTTTGAAGCATGACATCAAAGCCATTTCAGTAGAATACTAAAACTTTCCAGCTTAACATTCAATTTTGGAATAACCTTCAAAACTATAAAGACAGTGAAATATCAGGGGGAAAAGTCTAAAATGTAGTCATAATATGCAAAGAAATCTAAAAATCCATGTAAATAAAAAACACCCCAACAGGAAAATAAATTATGATCATGAGACATTAACTTATAAGTATGAAAATACAAATGGTCAGTGAGTACACAAATACTGTTTAACTTTTGTAATTTACAAAAGTGAAATAAAGCAATGATGAAATGGTTTGTTTTACATATCATGTTGAATTGACCAACAGCTTAAAAAAAACCCTTGTTTCTTGGAGCATATGGAAATAGGCATTCTCCTACAATGACAATGGAAATGTAAGTGCCACAAGTATTCTGGACAGCATTTAAGCAATATTTATCAAAATTACTTTTTAAAATTGATTCTTTTTTAACCATTAATTCTACTTCTAAACATTTTCTTAAGAAAATAGATATATTTGCATATATAAGTTCGCAAGGATGTTAATCTCCAAGTTATTTATGACAGAGGAAGAAGAAAAAAGGAAGAAATTATCTAGCAACAAGAAGTTTATCAATAAGAAATTAGTTATATTTTGGTACAGTCATTGAACAAAACATAAAAGTCACTCAGATTATAAGACAAATAATTATTGTGAGCATAAAAGTTGACCATAGCATATTGTTTAAGAAAGCAATTTCAAACAACATTTGTAATATTATCCTATTTTTCTTAAATTACCTAGGTGTATATATGTAGAGAGAGAAAAAAATAGAAAAATATGTAACAAATTATAATAGGGAATTGGTTTGCATAATACAATTATATGCAAATTCTTTTAATTTTTTCATTGTCCATAATTTTTTATGGACTAAAAGATTTTCATTTTAGAAAATGTGCAAAGAATATACATATAATTTCTATAAAAATAAAAGGCAACAAATTTTTCTCATTCATAAGCTGAGGTATTGCCAAAAAATATTTTACTATTTCTTTTATATTAGTAATATATGAAATAGAGAATGTGAATAATAGTTATGAGAAAAAACTAAGCCAAGTAAAAATATGAAAACAGTAAAAACAAAAGCACTTGCTTGCTAGATACCTTTGGTATGAATCAGAATTTGTAAAGCAATTATTTAAATGTAATTAAATAACTCTTGCCTCGATTTCCAAATGGATTTGAAGCAGCACATATTAAAAGCCAACATAAAAAAATCCTTTAGAAAGTATTTTAAAAAGCTGAGGAATATAGATGAAAGGCAGGAGAGCAAGGAAAATAGGGGAATGGTTCTAAACTAAAAATTATGCTAGAAAACAGAATAAGTGATGTAACTTCAATTCATCAGAAAATCAATCAGTGTTTCTGATCAATGAAGGCTAAAAGTGAACCTTAATGGGTTCCATAGCTGCCACATTCTAATAAAAGGAGATGTGAGTACATAAAAATAGAGGAACTTACTTTTCTGAACCCTAAGAGAAAATCACTACACAAAACAATATAAAAGAGATTTTAAAAGTTTTTAAACAGAATTTCTATAATCTGTATGTATGATTTTCATAATATTAGCATCTGGTAAAAATTTAAGATAATATATTAAGCCATATAGGTATGAAGAGATTTAAGACCAGGCCAACTTTGGATCACCTGAGTTGATAACAGATTTATAACTTAAGGAATGTAGAAGTTAAGGTTTTACAGTGCAAGTTACAATTTAGATTAACTAGTAAGTACCTGAATTATAGTCAACTAATGGAAAGAACAAAACACATAAAGCCAGTTTTTAGGCAACATTAAAAACTTCCATCATCTTAATTTAAACCATCCGAAAAACAAGCATGTCAGGATATAAATTTAAAAGAAATTCAACTATATCTGACTATTTTAAGCATTAATTCAAAATGAAATTAGGTCTTTAAATTCGTACTATAAATTTCTAAAAGTTTGATTTCTCAAAACTTGGATGAAAAATTAGAAAATTTCTGTTGGTAAAAATACTTTGGAATCTTTAGTTGTAAGAACTATTTTGAGCATATTTTCATAGAAGAAATTAAAGCTAGCAATATTACTAAAATAATAAATATGCAATAAATTCAAATAATTACCTCATTTCATTTGGTTCAAATGTAAAAATATATCTATTTATACTTATTGCTATGAACATATCAAAATAAGAAAAATGTGCAATATTAAAATTAGAAAATGTGCCTCTGTAAAATGAACTAAGCTCCATCTATTTTTCCACAAAAGAAAAAAAATGGCTTTGTATAAAAAACGTTTTATCATAAAGTTTACTAAACTAAGCACCCATCATGTGGAATATGAAATTTACTGAGGTCAATTCAGGCAGAGATCACTATCATTCTCCCACCTGCTGCAGATACTAGCTGGAAAGGTACGTTTTTCTTTCCTAGTGTCTCTGGGCCAAGGCAATGCTAAGAGGTTTGGAGCCCAAGATGCGGCCATTCATCTCAGTCATTGCTTTAGTAGCATCCTCAGGAGAGGAGAAGCAGATCAAGCCAAACCCTTTGCTCTGCCCCTCTTCCTGCATTACCTTAACTCTGCTAATTGATCCAAATGAAGAAAATTCGTTTCGTAGTTTTTCATCATCGATGGTGTCATCAAGGTTCTTAATATAGAGTTTTACCCCCTGGCACCCACGAATTCGTTCCCTTTTCAGCTGCTCAAACATTTGCTTTAACTCAGCCTGTCGCTCGACTTTCTTTTGAGCCCGGCCTACAAAAATCAGCTGCCCATTTATGTCCCTTCCATTCATTTCTTCAACAGCTTTCTTGGCAGCCTCATGGCTATCAAAACTCACAAAGCCAAAGCCTTTGGATTTCCCACTGGAATCTGTCATCACCTTAACACTCAGAGTTTTGCCATATTTGCTGAAAACGTCCTTCAATCTCTCATCATCCATGTCACCTCCAAAGTTTTTTATGTAAACATTGGTGAATTCACTGGCTTTGCTTCTGAGTTCAGCTTCACGATCTTTTCGGTTTTTGAATCTGCCAACAAACACCTTGCAGCCCTTGAGTAGTTTTCCATTCATCTCCTCAATGGCCCTGTCTGCAGCACTCTGGTTCTGAAAGTGCACAAATGCATAGCCCTTGGAGCCTTGATCATCACTCATCACCTTGGAGGAAAGGATCTTTCCAAAAGCTGAAAAATGTTCATAAAGGGTTTTGTTATCGATAGATTTGTCCAGATTCTTGATGAATACGTTCCCAATTCCAGATCTCCTCAAGTAGGCATCGCGCTGAGACCACATGAGACGGATGGATTTGCCTTTTATGATGTCAAAGTTCATTGTGTCCAGCGCCTTCTGGGCATCAGCCAGCTGCAAGAAGTTCACGTAGGCATAGCCCAGAGAGCGGCGGGTGACCTGGTCCCTGCAAATGCGGATGGACAGCACAGGCCCCACAGTGCTGAACTTCCTGAACAGCAGGTCCTCGGTGACATCTGCATGTAAGTCACCCACATACAGGGAGGCCATGCGGTACTTGGCTGCTACATTCATCTCCTTGTCCTTGCCACTGTGAGTTTGTCCCCTGGAGTTCTTTGAGCAATCCCTGTGGGGGGATACTAGGTCACAGCTTTGGCCCGGTTCAAGTGTGGAGGCCTCGGGATCACCACACAAAGGCCAAGCAATGGAGTTCAGACACGACTCCCCCAGCTCAGGCAACACCCTCATCCAAAAGTCCCCACAGCCACCAATCTGGCCCTCCTAGGACGCGGCAACAGAACTGTGAAATCGCAAAGAGAGATTATTAGGACAAGACGTTCCTTCCCCTCAGATTTGTGAGAAAACTTCAAGTGGCGGGCTGGCCCTCCATCTGAGCATTCTCCACAGACGCCCTGGTCGCTGGTTTCTGAATAAAAATAGGCCTCGCTCAGAGTGGTTTAAAGTTACAGCCGCTCAGGGAAGAACTCCACAAGCGGAGGCGTCAGAGGCCCCAGCCGTGGAGTATGGGCTGCGAGGTTCTGCCCGGCAGAGACCCGAACCTGCCAGGTACCGGGTTCTGCAGGCGCCGCCGCCGCCGAGGCGCTGCCGGCAGCGACGCGGGCCAAGGGCGTCCTGAAGACCTAGGGGGCCCCTCCGACCTCCCGACCCGCGCGGCGCCCGGAGAAAGGAGGCGTGGGGGAAGGGGAGGCTGACAGACCGACGGACTGACGGACGCGGCGAAGCGGGCGGCCAGGCGGGGGCTGGGGGCTCACCGGCGGTCGTCTGCGGGCGGGCGGGAAGCCCGGAACTCGCGCGCTGAACTTCCCGCGCACTCGCTGCCAAGTGGGATGTTTTCTTTTTAATATTTTTTTTAAGAACGTTTTTCTTCCCCCCGCCCCTATTACACGTTTCCCACCCTCCTCAGATGGCTAAGCTGAGAAGCAGGAGGCGGTGACTGGGGTGGAGAAAGGCAGCCGAGGGGAGTGGCCCCAATAAACCCACCCGCCCGCAGGGCTTTGCATGGGTCTGAGTGAAGGAGCCTTTCCAAATGTGGATCAGGGCCTGTCACTTCCTGGCTTCAAACCCTCCAGTGGCTTCCTTTGACTTTTGGATAAGGTCCAACATCCGCACCTTGTTCTATAAAGTTCTGCAGGATTCCTGAAATGTTCCAGCCTCAACTGCTGCTTAGTTCCCCTTACAAAACTCCAAGACACACTAGCGTTTTTCAGAGCCAACTTTATAAAAATGTGTTCTTCGGAAATGAGTTAAAATGCTCTTTCCAAATAGATGTTTTTTCTAAACCCCTCTGACAATTTAGGTTTCCCTCTTAGAAACTCTAACACTACCCTGTACTTGCCGGCTTTTGTCTAATTACAAAATATTGCATATTTCGTAACAATAGAAGCCATGTGCACTTTATTCTCAGGGACTTGCAGACAAGGGATGTGCAGTATTTATTGAACAAATCTTAGCCTCAGGTTAGTTTTCACATCTAGTTAAATGGAGGCGGTGGCACTTATCTTAGAGAGTATTTTACGTGTGAAATGAGTTAATAGATTTGGAAATGGATAACACAATATCAGATACATAAGTGGTTTCCAGTAACAATGATTTCATTTTCTTTAGCATTAAATAAAATTCTTTAGTATCTAATGAATCCTTAAAATTTGAATCATAATGCATCTTAGAGAGTCAATAAGTTACTGTCACGGTAGCATGACCTTGATTCTCCAAGAGTGCCAGAACCTATGAAATTAACCTGTGGTCTCAGTTGTACTTGTTTACAGAAACAAAAGCCGGGCTGGATGCCAGTAGCCACAAACAAGCCACGAGATAAAAACTCAGCTTGGCAGTGCTACTCAGACAGACCTGAATCCTCACTTCCTTATCATATTAAAATCTCTGCCCAGTGGGGAGAGATGCCCTTTGCTAGGCACATATAGTAAGTGCCCAGTGCAAAAGAAAGAACAAGACTGCACACATTCTAGTTTTCTCTGGAAAGTCCCACCTCTTTCCAGGAATTCGCATCCTTAGTCTCCACCTTCATGCTCTAAGAGACCTTAAAAATCCCCCTTCTGCACACACCTGGGGAAAAGGTGAATGGGAAGCTCACCTTCTCTACTCTTTGAACAACAAATAAAGTTTCTGCTCTGCTTAACAGAACCTCCCGTCTTTCTACTGTCTCAATGGCAACAGGCAGGTAAAGGACCCACTGGGGTAAAACAACCCCTCTTCAGGGCAGAACATTACCTGCAAATCTGAATTGGGTGGATCAGTTAATGTAAGGCAAATTTAGTACTTTTTCACTTTACTGGACATAGGAAAAAACTAGTGCTCTTGTTGAAAAAGCAGATTCTGATTCAGTAGCTTGAGGTGGACCTGAGATTCAACTTTTCGAACAAGTTCCTGAGTGATGCAAATTCTGCTGGTCTCTGAACCACACTGAGTAGCAAGACTAAATGAATCCTCATTTAGAGGGATCTTTTCTAATGTAAGAACTGGAAAACTAAAAATATGTGTTTAACTTGCAGAAGATAATAATACTCTAGCAAAATTCATTCTTAGAAATGCATTAAATAAAACTGGAGCATGATTTTCACTATAAAATCCAAATTGATTGTAATCTATCTAAAATTTCCTATGTGGGAGATGAGAAGATGCCACTCCAAAATATGAGAGATTACTGAGCTGAAGATAATTAAGAAGAAGCAGATGCAGGAAAGCTCACTGCCCTCCATCTACTTGCCTAAAAGCATGATAGAGTTATAATGAAAAATGTTACCTTGCCCTCCCCAAACCCACTCGCAAATGTTAGCCACTGAAGACAACTTTGGACCCTATCAGCCTGGAGAAGGTACGAGAGGAATCTATATTAACAAATTTTAACAAGATAACTAGCATTTATCTACCATTGATTGATTCACCTTCCCCCAAGTTGCTGCCCGTAACAACTTAAAGTCCTTTTTTGTTTGTTTTACCACTTCTCTAAGAATTTACTTAGAAGAAGAAGGTGCTATATAATCTGAAATTCACCAAAGAGGTGAGTCACCTCTTTGAGAACTACTCATTATATATTTTATATATACATGAGAATATATGTAAAATATACATACTCATGTACATATAAAATATTTTATATGTACATGAGAGTATAAAATATATATGCTAAATTACACATGAACTTGTTTGTTTTTCTCTTGTTTTTGTTTTTTTGTTTTGTTTTGTTTTAGTTTGTAATTTTTTTAGGCAGGGTCTCACTCTGTTAGCCAAGCTGGAGTGCAGTGATGCAAACAGGGCTCTCTGCACCTTGGACTTCCTGGGCTCAAGCAGTCCCTCCACCTCAGCCTCTCTAAGAGTTGGAACAACAGACACATGCCACCATGCCAGGCTATTTATTTATTTATTTATGTTTTATTGTGGAGACAGGGTCTTGCCTGTTGACCAGGACTATCTCCAGTTCCTGGGCTCAAGTGATCCTCCTGCCTTAGCCTCTCAGAATGCTAGGATTAGAGGCATAAGTCACTGTGCCTGGCTGTTTGTAAAATTTATTTCAATATGTGTTGTTCCTGTAGCATCATTTGTTCAAATAAATAAATACAGTAATCTTTTCTTTCAGCCTGTCTTGAAATCTGCAATTTTAAAAAGGAAAAGAAATCACCAACATAGTTGTAGATACCATTAATGGATTTGGGCAGTACTCCAGCACATACTTTAAGAATTTAGATGCTATTTGGTGTTGTTTAACATAAATAAAACAGTGATTACTATGTTCAATATTATCAGGAGTTTTTTTTTTTGTTTTTGTTTTTTAAGAAAGCTCCTAAGTGTGTAGTCCCTAAGAATTTAGTCTTAAGATTTTTAATTTCTAAAAAATATAGTTTAGATCTCATCAGTTCTTTGTGTTGTTTGAATACAACGGTACTTCAGCTATAACAAGATACCAAAATATTTCAAGAACTTGTGGGTTTTTCATTTTACCTTAGTGTGATCTTCACTCGACATTTTGTGAAAAATGAGAAGAATCTCCAAATTTAGAATTTAGTCCTACATTCTCTAATCAACTTACAGGCAACTGGTACAAACCTCAGTTGGTTAAATGACTAATTATTATACATCTTCCTATTTGTTCTAGTTATGGTGTTTTTCTTTTTATATTTTAACAAATACAGCATTTTTTAAGTAACTATGATTCTTCCTTGTCTTTAATTCACTAAATCTCCTCTTTTTGTCAGTTGTGTTCAGTGAATAATTTCTTCACTTGGGGTGTCCTTTACATTTGCCCTTTCTTTCCCTTCCCTTTGCTACTGCCTTTACTTCATTTCCTTGTATATTACTGCATGAGTCTTATTCATTCACCTTCTTTGATTCGGGCTGTCTGTATATCAGTCCATGTTGCATTTTGTTACTGGAATAATTTTACTAATCTCTCTTTCATAACATTTTAGTAAAAAAATAGCAAATGACACCAAAGACTGCAAGATCAATATCATTGTAACTACATATATTTTCTCTTGTCAAGCTAATCCCTCGCTTGCTTTATATGTACATGCAGTTAATTCTTTTAAAAATAGAAAGGAATGCAATATATTTGAAGAGATTATCTGCATTCTCTTGTTTATTACAGTACTATTCACAACAGACAAGATTTATGGAATCAACTGAAGTGTCCACCAGTGGATGAATGAATAAATAAAATGTGTGTGTGTGTGTGTGTGTATATATATGCATATATATATGTATATATACACAATGGAATATTATGCAACCATAAAAAAGATTGAAATCCTGTCATTTGCAGCAACATGGTTGGAACTGGAAGTCATTATGTTAATTGAAATAGGCCAGGGACAGAGAGATAAATATTGCATGTTCTAACTCATATGTGAGAGCTAAAAAATTGAATCTCTTGAAAATAGACAGTAGATTGCCTAATCTTGAAAAAAAATTGTAATTTTGCCTACCTTATGTTATTTAGTTCAATTGCCCTCCAATGTACAAGGTTGTTGTGTGGGTGGCTCACAGAATTAGGAGAGGATGAGACTGCTGTTTTGCTTAAATGGCAGGAAAACCGTCAGTATTTCTACTCACTGATATTCACAGCAATGGAAGTTATTGTTTATTTTGGTATTTATCATGAAGATATTAATAAGTAGCTATTTTGGGTATGGAAATGCATTTTAAAATAAAAATCTCTCATACTAAATTAGGTAAAATTAGTTTCTGAAGTCTTGAATCATTGTTCTGATGTAGTCAACTATTAATAAAATTTTTGTTATTTGAGTTCAAAATGGTCTTTATTGCCTTAATACATAGTAATTAAATAAAGAAAACTTGTTTTTGTTGTATTATGAAACTACCATGTTCAATTTACTACAAAGTATAATATTGTATCTTTCAGATTATTTGGTTCTTTTTTTTGACAATAATCTCTTTCCAGTTGTTATTTGTTATTGTTGTTGTTGCTTGTGTTTTTCGTTTTGTTTTTCTTACCCAAATATAGTGTTAATTTCTTGAGAATGAGGAATATGATTTACATTTCAGAGTTACCTTTCTCTATATGGCACATATGGAAATTTTTCAATAAGTAATGCTTGATTGCTAGTAGATCTTGATGAAAGGTAAATGTCCCCCAAGGCTGAAATAGATGGTGTCAATCATCACATATCACCTGATATACAGCTTTGAGCAGAATAAAAACAATGGAAATTCATTTACTTCAATCCCAAGCTGTCATCACACCAGTAGAAACTGATGTGAAGACTTACTTTATGATAAAAGGTTGCTTCGTTTATGTACATCCCCTGATCCTCCTCTGTCCCCCACCACAAACTCAGTCATTTCAATGAGAAAGATAATTAGAGATAGGGCCAAGGCTCCTAAGAGAAATAAGACAATAACATCATTCAGACCTATTTAAGAGAAAGATAAATAACATTATTCAGATCTATGTAAGCATACTGAGGTATTATATTTCAGGAAATAGCGTCAAATTTCAGTGGTTTTATTAGATACTGATACCCAAGTTATAATACTGCCTGGTTCCCTGGCAGGTGAGAGTGCCCAAATCCAGCTGATGGGGTTTAGACAATGTTCACAGTAGGGAAAGAAGCTAAATGGACCTTGTGGGCTGCTTCATTGGACCAATTTAATGTACCATTTTTACTTATTTTACAACTGATTTATAACCAATTTCACAACAAAATTTATAATAGGAATTTATATGTTAGATGCTTATACATTTCTACAAATTGGCAGATTCTAGGGCACTGAACTGTGGAAATAAATTGCTATCCCTTATAGAAACATCTTGGTCCTTCATGTAGATGCCATATTAAGGGTCATTCACTCATAAGATAGTAATTGAGCTGGAGATTGACCTCGCACCACTCAGACTGCTACCATTGCTAACTGTGTCCATCAATATATCATACATTTTCTGACTTGCTTTTGAGGCAAGGAAGGCTACATGGCATTGAGTTCTGACGACTCCTGGAAAGCTCTAGTGGGATAACACTTCTTGAGGCTATCAGTGCTGTCCCACCACCATTGATCCATTTTTAGGTTGCAGTGTTACGGTTTAAATTCTATCAGCCCACTGCGGCTACACTATTGTGGCCTTTGGAACGAAAGTCTTACATTTTTAGTTTTTAGAACCAGAAATATTGACAGTCTGACAATGGAATATCTTCTATCATGAAACCCACTCTACAACACCTTGATAATCAAGATAGACTTCAATAGACTTTCCTTATGCCAAACTATCTGTAGAAATCAGGTTGTGCTGAAAATTGGAATGTCCTTCTTAAAAAAATCAGTTCGAGATGTAGATCGGGCAGCAAAGATGGCCAAATAGGAACAGCTCTGGTCTACAGCTCCCAGCGCGAGCAACACAGAAGACGAGTGATTTCTGCATTTCCATCTGAGGTACTGGGTTCATCTCACTAGGGAGTGCCAGACAGTGGGCGCAGGACAGTGGGTGCAGCGCACAGTGCGTGAGCTGAAGCAGGGCGAGGCATTGCCTCACTTGGGAAGTGCAAGGGGTCAGGGAGTTCCCTTTCCTAGTCAAAGAAAGGGGTGACAGACAGCACCTGGAAAATCGGATTACTCCCACCCGAATACTGCTCTTTTCCGACGGGCTTAAAAAATGGTGCACCAGGAGATTATATCCCGCACCTGGCTCGGGGGATCCTATGCCCACGGAGTCTCACTGATTGCTAGCACAGCAGTCTGAGATTAAACTGCAAGGCAACAGCGAGGCTGGGGGAGGGGCGGCCGCCATTGCCCAGGCTTGCTTAGGTAAACAAAGCAGCCAGGAAGCTCGAACTGGGTGGAGCCCACCACAGCTCAAGGAGGCCAGCCTGCCTCTGTAGGCTCCACCTCTGGGGGCAGGGCACAGACAAACAAAAAGACAGCAGTAAGCTCTGCAGACTTAAATGTCCCTGTCTGACAGCTTTGAAGAGAGCAGTGGTTCTCCCAGCACGCAGCTGGAGATCTGAGAACTGGCAGACTGCCTCCTCAAGTGGGTCCCTGACCCCTGACACCCGAGCAGCCTAACTGGGAGGCACCCCCCAGTAGGGACAGACTGACACCTCATAAGGCCGGGTACTCCTCTGAGACAAAACTTCCAGAGGAACAATCAGACAGCAGCATTCGCGGTTCACGAAAATCCGCTATTCTGCAGCCACCGCTGCTGATATCCAGGCAAACAGGGTCTGGAGTGGACCTCTAGCAAACTCCAACAGACCTGCAGCTGAGGGTCCTGTCTGTTAGAAGGAAAACTAACAAACAGAAAGGACATCCACACCAAAAACCCATCTGTACATCACCATCATCAAAGACCAAAAGTAGATAAAACCACAAAGATGGGGAAAAAACAGAGCAGAAAAACTGGAAACTCTAAAAAGCAGAGTGCCTCTCCTCCTCCAAAGGAACGCAGTTCCTCACCAGCAATGGAACAAAGCTGGATGGAGAATGACTTTGACGAGTTGAGAGAAGAAGGCTTCAGACGATCAAACTACTCCAAGCTACAGGAGGAAATTCAAACCAAAGGCAAAGAAGTTAAAAACTTTGAAAAAAATTTAGACAAATGTATAACTAGAATAACCAAATACAGAGAAGTGCTTAAAGGAGCTGATGGACCTGAAAGACAAGGCTCGAGAACTACGTGAAGAATGCAGAAGCCTCAGGAGCTGATGCGATCAACTGGAAGAAAGGGTATCAGGATGGAAGATGAAATGAATGAAATGAAGTGAGAAGGGAAGTTTAGAGAAAAAAGAATAAAAAGAAATGAACAAAGCCTCCAAGAAATATGGGACTATGTGAACAGACCAAATCTACATCTGATTGGTGTACCTGAAAGTGACGGGGAGAATGGAACCAAGTTGGAAAACACTCTGCAGGATATTATCCAGGATCACTTCCCCAACCTAGCAAGGCAGGCCAACATTCAGATTCAGGAAATACAGAGAACGCCACAAAGATACTCCTTGAGAAGAGCAACTCCAAGACACATAATTGTCAGATTCACCAAAGTTGAAATGAAGGAAAAAATGTTAAGGGCAGCCAGAGAGAAAGGTTGGGTTACCCACAAAGGGAAGCCCAACAGACTAACAGCGGATCTCTCAGCAGAAACTCTACAAGCCAGAAGAGAGTGGGGGCCAATATTCAACATTCTTAAAGAAAAGAATTTTCAACCCAGAATTTCATATCCAGCCAAACTAAGCTTCATAAGTGAAGGAGAAATAAAATACTTTACAGACAAGCAAATGCTGAGAGATTTTGTCACCACCAGGCCTGCCCTAAAAGAGCTCCTGAAGGAAGCACTAAACATGGAAAGGAACAACCGGTACCAGCCGCTGCAAAATCATGCAAAAATGTAAAGACCATCGACACTAGGAAGAAACTGCATCAACTAATGAGCAAAATCACCAGCTAACATCATAATGACAGGATCAAATTCACACATAACAATATTAACTTTAAATGTAAATGGACTAAATGCTCCAATTAAAAGACACAGACTGGCAAATTGGATAAAGAGTCAAGAACCATCAGTGTGCTGTATTCAGGAAACCCATCTCACATGCAGAGACACACATAGGCTCAAAATAAAAGGATGGAAGAAGATCTACCAAGCAAATGGAAAACAAAAAAAGGCAGGGGTTGCAATCCTAGTCTCTGATAAAACAGACTTTAAACCAACAAAGATCAAAAGAGACGAAGAAGGCCATTATATAATGGTAAAGGGATCAATTCACCAACAAGAGCTAACTATCCTACATATATATGCACTCAATACAGGAGCACCCAGATTCATAAAGCAAGTCCTGAGTGACCTACCAAGAGACTTAGACTCCCACACAATAATAATGGGAGACCTTAACACCCCACTGTCAACATTAGACAGATCAATGAGACAGAAAATTAAAAAGGATACCCAGGAATTGAACTCAGCTCTGCACCAAGCGGACCTAATAGACATCTACAGAACTCTCCACCCCAAATCAACAGAATATACATTTTTTCAGCACCACACCACACCTATTCCAAAATTGACCACATAGTTTGAAGTAAAGCTCTCCTCGGCAAATGTAAAAGAACAGAAATTATAACAAACTGTCTCTCAGACCACAGTGCAATCAAACTAGAACTCAGTATTAAGAAACTCACTCAAAACCGCTCAACTACATGGAAACTGAACAACCTGCTCCTGAATGACTATTGGGTACATAATGAAATGAAGGCAGAAATAAAGATGTTCTTTGAAACCAACGAGAACAAAGACACAACATACCAGAATCTCTGGGACACAGTCAAAGCAGTGTGTAGAGGGAAATTTATAGCACTAAATGCCCACAAGAGAAAGCAGCAAAGATCCAAAATTGACACCCTAACATCACAATTAAAAGAACTAGAAAAGCAAGAGCAAACACATTCAAAAGCTAGCAGAAGGCAAGAAATAACTAAAATCAGAGCAGAACTGAAGGAAATAGAGACACAAAAAACCCTTCAAAAAATTAATGAATCCAGGAGCTGGTTTTTTGAAAGGATCAACAAAATTGATAGACCGCTAGCAAGACTAATAAAGAAAAAAAGAGAGAAGAATCAAATAGACACAATAAAAAATGATAAAGGGGATATCACCACTGATCCTACAGAAATACAAACTACCATCAGAGAATACTACAAACACCTCTACGCAAATAAACTAGAAAACCTAGAAGAAATGGATAAATTCCTCGACACATACACTCTCCCAAGACTAAAGCAGGAAGAAGTTGAATCTCTGAATAGACCAATAACAGGCTCTGAAATTGTGGCAATAATCAATAGCTTACCAACCAAAAAGAGTCCAGGACCAGATGGATTCACAGCCGAATTCTACCAGCGGTACAAGGAGGAACTGGTACCATTCCTTCTGAAACTATTCCAATCAATAGAAAAAGAGGGAATCCTCCCTAACTCATTTTATGAGGCCAGCATCATCCTGATACCAAAGCTGGGCAGAGACACAACCAAAAAAGAGAATTTTAGACCAATATCCTTGATGAACATTGATGCAAAAATCCTCAATAAAACACTGGCAAATGGAATCCAGCAGCACATCAAAAAGCTTATCCACCATGATCAAGTGGGCTTCATCCCTGGGATGCAAGGTTGGTTCAAAATACGCAAATAAATAAATGTAATCCAGCATATAAACAGAGCCAAAGACAAAAATCACATGATTATCTCAATAGATGCAGAAAAGGCCTTTGAGAAAATTCAACAACCCTTCATGCCAAAAACTCTCAATAAATTAGGTATTGATGGGACGTATCTCAAAATAATAAGAGATATCTATGACAAACCCACAACCAATATCATACTGAATGGGCAAAAACTGGAAGCATTCCCTTTGAAAACTGGCACAAGACAGGGATGCCCTCTCTCACCACTCCTTTTCAACATAGTGTTGGAAGTTCTGGCCAGGGCAATTAGGCAGGAGAAGGAAATAAAGGGTATTCAATTAGGAAAAGAGGAAGTCAAATTGTCCCTGTTTGCAGATGACATGACTGTATATCTAGAAAATCCCATTGTCTCAGCCAAAAATCCCCTTAAGCTGATAAGCAACTTCAGCAAAGTCTCAGGATACAAAATCAATGTACAAAAATCACAAGCATTCTTATACACCAATAACAGACAAACAGAGAGCCAAATCATGAGTGAACTCCCATTTACAATTGCTTCAAAGAGAATAAAATACCTAGGAATCCAACTTACAAGGGACGTGAAGGGCCTCTTCAAGGAGAACTACAAACCACTGCTCAATGAAATAAAAGAGGATACAAAGAAATGAAAGAACATTCCATGCTCATGGGTAGGAAGAATGAATATCGTGAACATGGCCATACTGCCCAAGGTAATTTATAGATTCAATGCCATCCCCATCAAGCTACCAATGACTTTCTTCACAGAATTGGAAAAAACTACTTTAAAGTTCATATGGAACCAAAAAAGAGCCTGCATCGCCAAGTCAATCCTAAGCCAAAAGAACAAAGCTGGAGGCATCACGCTACCTGACTTCAAACTATACTACAAGGCTACAGTAACCAAAACAGCAAGGTACTGGTACCAAAACAGAGATATAGATCAATGGAACAGAACAGAGCCTTCAGAAATAATGCTGTGTATCTACAACTATCTGATCTTTGACAAACATGAGAAAAACAAGCAATGGGGAAAGGATTCCCTATTTAATAAATGGCGCTGGGAAAACTGACTAGCCATATGTAGAAAGCTGAAACTGGATCCCTTCCTTACACCTTATACAAAAATTAATTCAAGATGGATTACAGACTTAAACGTTAGACCTAAAACCATAAAAACCCTAGAAGAAAACCTAGGCATTACCATTCAGGACATAGGCGTGGGCAAGGACTTCATGTCTAAAACACCAAAAGCAATGGCAACAAAAGCCAAAATTGACAAATGGGATCTCATTAAACTAAAGAGCTTCTGCACAGCAAAAGAAACTACCATCAGAGTGAACAGGCAACCTACAAAATGGGAGAAAATTTTCGCAACCTACTCATCTGACAAAGGGCTAATATCCAGAATCTACAATGAACTCAAACAAATTTACGAGAAAAAAAACAAACAACCCCATCAAAAAGTGGGCGAAGGACATGAACAGACACTTCTCAAAAGAAGACATTTATGCAGCCAAAAAACACATGAAAAAATGCTCACCATCACTGGCCATCAGAGAAATGCAAATCAAAACCACAATGAGATACGATCTCACACCAGTTAGAATGGCAATCATTAAAAAGTCAGGAAACAACAGGTGCTGGAGAGGATATGGAGAAATAGGAACACTTTTACACTGTTGGTGGGACTGTAAACTAGTTCAACCATTGTGGAAGTCAGTGTGGTGATTCCACAGGGATCTAGAACTAGAAATACCATTTGACCCAGCTATCCCATTACTGGGTATATACCGAAAGAACTATAAATCATGCTGCTTTAAAGACACATGCACATGTATGTTTATTGTGGCACTATTCACAATAGCAAAGACTTGGAACCAACCCAGATGTCCAACAATGATAGACTGGATTAACAAAATGTGGCACATATACACCATGGAATACTATGCAGTCATAAAAAATGATGAGTTCATGTCCTTTGTAGGGACATGGATGAAACTGGAAATCATCATTCTCAGTAAACTATCGCAAGGACAAAAAACCAAACACCACATGTTGTCACTCATAGGTGGGAATTGAACAATGAGAACACATGGACACAGGAAGGGGAACATCACACTCTGGGGACTGTTGTGGGGGGGGGAGGGTGGAGGGATAGCATTAGGAGATATACCTAATGCTAAATGACAAGTTAATGGGTGCAGCACACCAGCATGGCACATGTATACATATGTAACTAAGCTGCACATTGTGCACATGTACCCTAAAACTTAAAGTATAATAATAATAAAATAAAATAAAAAAATAAAAAAAATCAATTCGAAAGGATTCTGAGTCTATATCCCTCAAAACCTCTCAGTCCCCAGCTTTTAGCAAGAGAGTTCAGTGGTTATCCCCAGAAAGTGGCTATCTCATTTGGCTACTTCCTGGGTAATCATCAGGACAAAAAGAGTGGGTTACATAGATCTATTATGAACAGTTGGCATTCTACCCTGTTCATTCTTGATCATGATACCTTTTCTTTTCCCTAATGTCATCACCATGCTGTCTTTCAGAATCATCATGATGAAAAAAAACTCCTTGGTGTGCGTCTCCCTAACTGTGGAAAGTGCTTTCAATTTAAGTGACAGCAGAGTCTTTCATCCTCTACCACATGGAAATATGACCACGATTTGAATGCTGCTTTCCTAAAATTCACTGTGAAGTCAACTGGAAAACAGCAGAGGACGCCCTCAGTTCCTGCATATCCCATGCAAAATAACTGTCAGCACCTTGGGATGTTTCTCGCACTCCACTTTCCACAGATATTATTCAGTTATTTCATGTAGTAGATGAATGCCACCTTGCTGTTGGCACAGACAAAATACTGTAAGTTGTAGTGACGTGTCAGGCAATCCCTCAAGAAACATTCTATTTGAACTGAATTGGGAATTCTAAAATGTGCCAGCTAGCTGGGAGGACACATCATAGGCACTATCAACCTGTGACCCTCATGATATAAGCCCCATGTGGGGCACAAAATTTGTAATTATACTTTTCTCTGTGGATACTATGTAGATCTGTGAGATTGCACTTCTGCTTACAAGCCAGGCATTAACTTGACTACCCTCTGAAGACATGGTAACTTGCCCTTTATGAATGACCATAAAATATCTTCAAGTATTTAACAAAATTACATCAGTATAACACGTAGCTTTCAAATAACTATGGAGAGTTCCCTGAAATGAGGCAACCCTTTGGTGATTTTTCCAGAGGTAAGTGACTTATTCATGTGAAACCTGTATACAATTATCCCTATAATGGAAGTCATACAATTTGAAACGGTAATATGAAATTTGCTCCTGATTTTGTCTGAAGTAACCAGTAACACTATTTCGGCCCTGAAAGATATTCAGGCTTCACTTCACTGTCCAAAGTTGTTATGGAAGAAATAATTACTCTATACTTTGTGCTTGAAAACCAAGACAGTTTCTGTGCAATCTCAAATATATTCTATTGCACTTGGATTAGTGCCTCAGGCCAGGTGGAAAGGTCAATATGGGAAAAAATAAAAATAAAAAGAAATTCATTCTTCATCTCAGGTAGACCCTGATGCTTTTAAGGAGTTGTTGAGTTGGTTGGGTCTAGAACCCTGGTATACAAGGTTGAAAGTTATACCATAGGTTTACTTCATCCTGTTACTTGAAGTCCTGTTGATAGTAGCCTTTCTACCAACAATAAATATGGGACAAATTGAGCAGCCTCAATTTTCTCCCTGCTTCTGTTGCTTAGAATGGCCAACAGAGTGGTATACTCCTAGGAAAATTTGCCAAAATACAAGATAGTGTAGAAATAAGAGGTGGATATTAATAGGGAACAATTCTCCATGGTTCTTTTGTGTTTCTGTATGATTTACGAGCAGAATCACTGACTTTCTTTTTTTTTTTTCAGATTGTCTTTTCTAAGATGGTTTCATGGTAAACAGTCTGGAAAGATTGATGGTGTCTCCATCTAAAGAAAGAGCAAATATTTTTACTATTCCTTATAAAAGATCTGTGTTCCCTAAACTTAGGTTTCCCTCTCTTAATGCAACATACTGAATAGATAGGTGTCATCTGGCTCTCTTCACATGGCCTTTTGAAAATTGTGCTTGAGGAACTGACACAAGAAAATGTTTATATTCTGGCTCCCATTGTTGTTGTGAGTGATGAAGTCCTTTGTCTCTGACTCAGAAGTCTCATGTCTCCTGGCAGTATCCATGCTAACTTGGTAGTTTGTAAGTAGGGTAAAAATATCAAAGTCTTCACAGTTCTTGACACTGAACAAATAAATGAATGAATTAAGGATAATCTCTCATGTTTAGAGCAGAAATCTCATGACTTTGAAAGAAGATCACGTTTATTTTACAGGTATTATTTTCTCTTTCTTCAGCATTACTGGTATATCTCCACATCCTCATACTACACTTGGCAGTACTCCTCTATCCTCAGTTATGGAAGTAGTAATGGACTTAAGGTTTTATCAGTAACGCAGGAAGCTGCCTGGTGTGCAGCCTATTATCCCTCTTTATTTTGTAAGTTCCCCATGTCACAAGTTTCACTAGGTTTCTTTAGCTTCCTTTGTTGCTATTGCTCTTAGTAAAATTATCTTTAGTCTGACAACAAAATTAAAAACAAATTGGATTTAGAGAACATTCTTGGCATTTTCTACTTCATCAAAAACTTACATTAGAGCAGTCAAATATGATGTTTAGGTGTCTACAACAATCTCAGAGAAAGACTTGAAAGTCTCCATAACATTCTTGTTTTATGGTATCTGGAACACTTCATTTCAGTCTCTAAAGCCACATATCTGCTAATAAGCCTTATAAAAATTCTGGACTTTTGCAATCTGATGACATAAAAGAATGTCTGGCCAGCTTATCCTATCTCCTTCCTAGCACTGATAGCAAATGATCCCTTGGTGAATGGGGTACAATCCAGGATTGACTGGAATCCTTCCGTTAGCTCTATCATTGCCTACATGTCACTTGTTTCTTTTCCCAGGAATGAGACATTGGAATGTCTTTAATGTCTGTAGTCTTAGCATTACTCATCCTGGGCTCCCTCTCCTAATATGTCATGCAGAAAATTTGCTTTATGGCTCATCCTAATAAACTTAAACTAAAAGGTACAGTCTTGGCTGGCTTTCTAGTTAAAATCTAGTTAGAAAATCCTTTTTTAAAATCTATGTAACTACAACTGTCCTAGTGCTAAGGTATCTGCTTTTTTAGATTCCTCTTTCCTAAAGCGTCAGGGATCATACTTTCTAAGGCTAAATCTACACCTCATCCTATGCATCATTATTGTAATAGTTTCTAACAATTGTAATAAGATTCAGGGCAATCACTTACTGCATCAGAGTTTAACAATCCCAAAAGAGAGACTGGACAAATACCAGCCTGCCTTTATGTCATACAAAGTCTGCAACTATGTGCAAATCCAGTATATTACCAGAAAAAAATGCAGTCTTGTCTATAACCAATGATAATTGCCTTTCAGGAAACATGGAGTCGGTCTCAGAAGGAAAGCCAGAAGTTGACTTTCTCACTGATCTCTCTCTCTTATGCCTTATCTATCTCTATTTCTTCAGAATCCCTGGTTTATCCTGTACAACTGTTTGTCAGGGCCAGAAAAACCCATTGTGCCTGGATCCTGATATTCCTCCAGGAGGAACACATGTAAAACAAAACAAATTTTTTCATGCTAATGTTGATTTACTCTTAATATTATAATATTTTTTAGACTAACACAATGTTTCTTCATTGTTAAAGACTCCACCCTACCGGGGTGAGGATGGGAAGAACAAAATCCTAAAGAGATATAGAACCTGGGCCAACCACACAGTCATTGGGATAATGATAGATAAAGGCCTGAATTAAGGCAGTAGCAATGGGAAATAAAATAATTGGGTTGCATATGCAAGAATTCAAACTGGTATATAATCTGAAGTTATAATTTGCTTCCTAAAATTACGCTGCTAAAGTTGTAGTATTTAACTAATAAGAGCAACAACCTAATGAACATCATCTATGTCCCAAACACTGTAATATAAAGTATTAAACACAGAGTAAGTACTCATACAGCACTATTAAAACAGTATTATATTGTTATATCAGTTTTACATAGTGATGCCTACTCATTTCTGGCAACAATCTTAAAGAGGAGATTTTAGTGTAACTGTTTTTGATTTGGACTTTAGACTCAGAAACTTTAACTTGTCCAAGTAATCAGAATATTTAAAAAAGGTGAGTATTTTAGTCTATGTCTCTCTAATTTCCAAAATCATGCTTTCATACTCATGCTTTTGTTTATACTGCATTCACTTTAAGAATACCTTTGATGGCTCAGTGAACATGTCTTTCTATTTTTTAACAATATCTAAGCTGCTTGAGCAGACATTTTTACAACAAAGCCAATATAATCAAAGTTTCAAGTAATTTTCATAGTTTCTGCCACAATTCTGATTTGTATTCCCACTTGTTGACTCAATCCAGTTGTCATTTACAATGTCCTGTATTTATTCTTTATACCTTTATTCTCAGCATTTCTCTAATTTATCTTCCTCTTATATCTTGACAACACATCTCTCCCTCTCCTCAGATAGCTAATTAAAAATTTGCAAGACTAAATAATATGAGTTCCCAATAGACAGTGTGTCAAGGAGACATTAGAGGCCATGGATGAGGTGTAGGGAAATGCTGGGAAGACATGCCACTTTGATAGACAGGCATTTTGAGCTAATAAAGTCCTTAGAGATCTCCCTGACCCTTTGGAATGCACATATGGATACAGCTGAAATCCTCTCCAGCTGTTCTGTTCCCAGAAGAGATATGGGCTAACTTTAGATGACCCACAAAAAGCCCTCTACTCAGGAAAATTTCAGAGGAGATGATCCAGAAGGAGAAAGAGTGTGAGGGAAGAAAAATTTAGAACAAATGGGCATGTTCCAGAAATATAATAAATGGACATGAAATATTTTAGAAGAACTTGAGGAAAAAGGTTGTTTCTGTAGTGATGTAAGGCTAATCATGTTTATGAACTTCTCTGGGATTTTTTTTGCATTTGTGAAAAGGAAATTATGACACCTATATTAATGTAGAATTACCTGGTATAATTATGAAAGCCAACAATTACTGAATACTTACTAGGAACCATACTGTCTTATAAGCACATTACATAAATTATCTCATTTAATGTTTTATAAAATAATATATGGTAAATACTATTACTAGCTCCATTTCCAGATGCAGGTAGTGAGGTTCAGAGAGTTTGAATAACCTGCCTTAAGTTATATGGATAACCTCAACAGTCTTACTCCAGGGTCAGTTCTCTGCTCAGCATCATTGGTGAGAAATGTCATAGCAGTTAACCTTTCACTTCAGACACTGCTGATCAGCCATTCGTTTTTGTTTTACTTTATTTTATTTTATTTTATTTTATTTTATTTTATTTTATTTTATTTTTTCTCACAAGGGAATTGATCTTAAGGGAATTCCTTTGTGGGAGGCTAAAGAGTGGACTCCAGGGTCCCACTCTATCACCCAGGCTAGAGCCAGTGCAGTGGCACAATCATGGCTCACTGCTGCCTCACCTAGGCTCAAATGATTCTCCCACCTCAGCCTCCTGAGTAGCTGGGATTACAAGCACATGCCACCACACCTATTTGTTTCTTTTTATTTTTGTAGAGATGAGGTCTCTCTATGTTGTGCAGGTTGGTTTGGAATTCCTGGCTTTAACCGACCCTTCCCTCTTGGCCTCCCAAAATGTTGGGATCGAAGGTGTAAACCATTGCACCTGGCCTGATTGGCCATTCTTAATGGCTATTTCTGGAGAGGTAGGGCAGTGATAATGTCCATTGTGCCCCTGGTTCTTTTACACTTTAACCAGTATTAGCTAACAGGCTCTGACACAGAACCTACCTAGTTTACTTACCTATTTGCCTTCTACCCTCTCTCTGGTTTTTAAACCCTCTTTAATATTCTGACACCCATTATTTGACTGGGGTCTTCTTTCTTACACTGGAGAGCCACTGAATTTTTGCCCTGGTCTTAAGGACACCAGGTTTCCTTCTCTAAGGGCCATCCTCTCTGCCCTTTGCCCATCTAACTCTCTTCAGCTCAATATTCATTGCTCTCTACTTCCTGAGTTTCAATTTTATCTACATTATCTTCATCCCCCTTGCCCACCCCAATAAACAATGCAAACTATAAACATGCAAACAATAATGCAAAAAATAATGCAAACAATAAACACTGCCAGGCCAGACATTCAGGTCCTCTTACAGCACAGCAGAAATGGGTAGTTAGAAGATTTACAGACAGACACAATTTCAGTTGGCAGACATTCTAAGCAGTGACAACTTTTTTTTAATTAAACGAGAGTATTGATTTTTTTATGTCGTGTGCATTTTAAAATGTCATCAACAACCCTCCATCTCCTCTTTCACTGATGTATTTTGTCTTTAAAAGCATTTCAACCTCTTACTTTTCCTCTTGAAAACTGCACTTTATTTTATCTTCCTTTATTGATTATTAGTAGGTACTTTTTGTTTTATTGATACTTTAATCCTTTTATGACCATTAGAGTATTTGTTTTAAATTGTTCTTTATTTCTACTCACTTAAACAAACAAACTAACAAACAATAATATGCATTACCTGATCATTGACTTACCTCACTCATCCTGTATGCCACAGTTTCATTTGTGAAGACGTAAAACCCTTCTAGTAACTCAGCTCAAAGAGAAATTCTCTAATGGTTCCTATCACATTTTTATTTTGCTAACAATCATAAAATTACCTATCCTTTCTCTATTTCTGAACTATGTTTTGTATCTTATTTAAGTGCTTTTTGCAATAAGAATTCATTTAGCTGTTATGAAGCTCAAAAATTCTACAAAAAAGCACAATTTTGGAAATCGTAGTCTAATTATTGCAATTGATATTTGCCCTTTTTTAGCATTAAATAGTGATGAGATTTTTCTTCTTAGAAATATTAATTAATCATTATGACTTATTAATTGAGAGTAGAACAAGATAAAAATGGGGCTTATCATAAGAAGCAAATTTAGATGAACAAGAGATTTTAGCTTGAAAAACAGGAGATTAATGGGTAATTTTACAATTGTCTTGAGAAATAAGTTTCGACTTAATATCTTGGTGTTAAAGGACAGAACTAACAACTGTTATATGAGGAACATTATAGCATAATTTGAGAAACCACTAAAAATTAGAAGAGTTTAAAAATGAAAATTAGCTGATTTTTTGTAGTAAGTTTAAATATTTGAGCCGTATAAACATATAGCAGAAGTATGACAAAGGGAAAACCTTTGTGGGAGGCTAAATAGATATTCTTTGAGATTGATTCCTACTTTATTATTCATGACATATTTTACAATGTCGTAGAGGCATGATATGAAATAATTAGAATCGACCAAAATCTGTGGAAGTTTAAACTGTGTACAGGGATGATTCATTTCTACATGATGTTTTGAATAGTTGCAGTAGAAAGATATTTTTAAGAATGTTCAGTATGTAATCAGCACATATTGTTTTTTGTTGTTAATTATACCTACTTATCTGTTTATGTCTTTTTAGTAAAGATTAGCTATAGATGCATATTCATAATTTTCCTTAAAATATCTATAAAAACAATAGCATTAATAACTATCGTTAAAATTAAAATATGGTAGCAAAATTTTATTTCTACTTTTTCTTCATTTTCAGGTATACCAGGAAGGAATATCAACATCTATAATTCTCAGAACCTGCATTTAAATATCTTCAGATTACTTGAGTAAATATTCTTGATTTTTGCAAGGACAATTAGTATATTTCTTCTCTCAAGTATAGATTCTGGATTTAGAAGAACAAAAGTCTTCCAAAATGTATATGCACTTTTTGCATTCATGGATATTTGTGTGTTATAGAGCTATGTTTGTGTGTATATTTTTACATTGAACAGGGTAAAAAATAGGAAATATACAACTGTACCTGAATGTCAAATCCCCTGTTATTTGAGGATATGCTATTTAAAGTGATTTTTAACACATATGTAAAGTAATCAACTCAGGAGTGCTTCTAACAATGTTTGGTACTTGTCAAGAATTGTATTAAATACTGGAAAATAATGATGCTAGACACAATTCTTACCCACAGGTACATATAGCCTAGTGAAAGGAGGGAAACAGACATAAATATCTAAATAAATAAGTTATAATAAAATATTAATTAATATTTCTTAATTAGTAGTACTTATCACCCATTCACAGATGGTTTAATATGCTTCCATTTGTATTTGTCTATTGTGATCATCAGTGCTTAATTGAGTAACCTTGGCAAAGTAGATGTCTAAGTAAAATTATTTATTAAATGACCAGCTAAGTTATTCAAGTTGTACCTTTTTTTATATTCAGCAAAGCTGATAAAGAGTATTAGTGAATAAAAATAAATAAATAATGTAGTTTGATCAGTTAATGTGTTGCAAAGTATTGGTAAAAACAGGTTTCTTAAGGAGGACACTTAGATTTGCCTATAAAAATTTTTGTTCTGCAATACTAAATTAGTCCCATAAGCTACAATGTAGTACAGTATTAATTGAAAAGAATTTTGAGCAGTTTATCTTACATAGAATAAGAAAATGAAAGCTTATCTGTAGCAAAGAAACATGAATGGATTTAACTTACAGTAGCTAACTCTGGCTGAGAAACAAACAACAAATTCCAAATATTATTCTTTCTATTGCCATGGAAATCTATTATCCTCCAGCACCTTTCCCCAATTCACTCTGTTGAAATTGTCTCTTCATAGCCCTCTGATATTTATTTTATAAAAAGATTGAAGATTCCAAACATTGACAGAAACATAAAAAGTTAAAAATAACTTATATGAGGGGTGATGAAATTGTGGCAACAAAAATTTGTGACTTCCCAAGCAATTTAATTAAAAATGTGTTTTGTTTTCCCTGAATGATAAACTGTTAGGTCAAAAAAGCAGGCTTCAAAATGTCCACAAAATAGCAGGGATTGTTGTATTAATTTATTTTCTCTCAATTGCTGACTCTCGTACATTAACTAATTTAACTATTCAGCTCTTATCAGAAACAAATAAGTATATTCAAGATTTTGAATATGCTTTGTTGCCAATAGGTAGCTTTTTATGGCAGGAGAAAAAAAAGAAGACATGGTGTTTTGGAGGTTCATTTCAGAAGTTAAAGGACTTGAAACCCTAAAAGTTCTTAAAAGTTCTTAGTCTGAAACTCAGCTCAACACTTGTGAGCTATGTAACCATTGGGAAGTCACTTTACTTTTGTAAGCCTCACATTCCTAATTTGTAAAATTAGGTTAGTGTCAGCCCTTCCTATCTCACGCACTATGTTTGGCATATATATCTATATATCTATATCTATAGATCTATGTCTATAGATCTATAGATATATAGATGTGTGTGTCTGTGTAATGCTATATAGGAACACACACACACACACACACACACACATCCATATGTATATACCAAACTTAGTGTGTGAGATAGGAAGGGCTGAATCTATCATAATTTTACAAATTAAGAATGTGAGGCTGACAAGTAAAGTGACTTGCCAATGGTTACATAGCTCACAAGTATATATACTATATATATAACATTACACAAGCACACACACATACACACACATATCAATATGTTACATTTAATCCTTTTTACTTGAAATGTGCCTCATACCCCATACTCTCACTGAAATTGTAGCCACACAACAGTTAAGTACAGTGACTAACAACATGTTGACTGCTTGGTACATATAGTAGAGGCACTAGGAGTCTTTACTGAAAGCAAACAGTGAGGTAATTTTATCAATGTCAGCCTAATTATCTGGCTACACTTCACACCAGTGAGTTAGGACTTGGATTTCTCTAACAAGCAGAGTAAGAATCTATTCAGAATTCCACCATTTTTATTTTCTTATAGAACAAATAACATAAAATGAAAGGTGCATATCTGTCTTTACAAGGGAGAGAAATGGTAAGAAAGTAAATTTAAGAAGAAAGAGGAGAAGGAGAAGTGAGGAAAACAATGATAGAGTAAAGTGGAAATGACCTTGACGGACCAGATGATTTATGGGGATTTCATTGAAGCTGTACAACAATTGGGACATAGTCAGGAGACCAGGGGGATGGAAAAATCACAGTAATTGTACTTTATAAATAAACTTGAAACATGTTCTTTTTTCATCTATCAGGGTAAGAAAACCAAGTCAAAACTTAAAGAAAATTGTATATACTTGGCGAATGTGCTAATACTGCCAGCAACATTGTCTAAGTTTCTAAATTAAAAAACAAACAAACAAACAACAACAACAAAAAACCATCCTTTCACAGGGCTTACTCTAGCCATTGTAAATATTCTCAACTTCATAAAAAAATGCTCAAACCAGGATGGTTTGTAAAAACTGTCTTCACTTCCACTCTCCTAAATCTATGCACTGAATACTTCACTACAACAAAGTAGTAGTTGGTAGTAGCAGTTGGCCTTTTGCCTTTTAAAGGCTTTCATACTTCCATCACACAAATTCTATGGTCAGTTTTCAATTTTACTTTTCCTCAGTCTCCCAGCAGCATTTCACACATTATTTTCCATTCCTCCTGCCCAAGTTTCTGTTTCTGGTTTCTTTTCCTTTTTCCTACCTGTAGTAAAATGTATTTTTAAACATATTTGTTCCTAATTTATTAAATATGATCAATAAATATATACTGAATGAAATTAAGTGAAGCTAAACTATTAAAATCTATGAGTCCATATTGTATTACTAACAATAGGCCAGATAACCCAAAATATCCACTGTAAATCAGTTGTCTTATGTTGTCTTCATTCTTGGGTGAATCTGACAGAGTGGCCTCGACCTAGATCATTCTATAATGATTCCTTCAGCTGAGAAAAAATATGGCACTAGCTCATATTTCATTGGCCAAAACTAATAATATAGCTCTGTATGAGTTCCACAGGGAGAACATATATAATCCTCCAGCAAGGAGAGATATCAGTTTTGGTGAGCAGTAATACAATCAACTAACAAATATGAACAACAACAACAACAAAAAGAAACAAAACATCCAGTAGAGATAATTATTACAATATTTTCCCCCTGAAACTTGGTAATTTTAAAAAATCAATAATTTCTCTGCCTTTTAGGACCAACTGTAAATTGTCTTCATTGTTGGAGAAACACTCCATTACAGAAAATGCCTGCTAATAAAAGCAGAAGGAATATTCGCATTTCAATGACAGATTCAGGCAAGGATTACAAACAAATATTAAAAGGAGTAGCTTATGCTGTTGGGAAACAATATATGTTCAGTTCCAAAGTAAGACCTCACACTTCTCTTAATAAATTCAAAGTGAAACACTGTATCTGTAAATTAGAGAGGTTTGGAGGTTAGTATGAATAATCCTAACAGCACTAATAAAAGGACACTCAATATTATGTCCCTCTCCCTATTGTGTTGCAAAATGAAGAGGGATCATTGCACATGAAATATTTATGCAAAAAATGTTTAACTTGAATCCAGTAAAGCCTTGAGGCATAACTTTTACTTTACAAGAATAAAGTTTTAAAGGAACATGGAATGACATCACAAGGGAACACTTACTAAAATTCACTGTGTGAGGCATTTTACAGAAAAACTGGCTAGGACTTTTCAAAGAGTTAATGTTATTTTAAAAATGTAAAAGCTAAAAGGATTTTTTTCCATCAAAAAAGACAAAGAAGGCACACAGGTGAATATGTTACATGAACTTTCATTGGACCCTCATTAAAATTATACAGCTATAAAATATTATTTTGGAAAAAAAAGATATTTTCAATATAGATTTGATATTAAAAATGACTTCAGTAAAGTTTAAGGATATAAAAATCAATGTACAAAAATCAGCAGCATTTCTATAGACTATCAATGTTCAAAATGAGTGGCAACTCAAGAACACAATGCCATTTACAACAGCCATTAAAAAAAAATCTAGGAATACATATAACCAAAGAGGTAAAGATCTCTACAAGAAGAAATACAGTCACTGCTGAAATAAATCAGATTTGACACAAACAAATGGAAAAATATTTCATGCTCATGGATTGGAAAAATCAGTCTCATTAAAATTGCCACACTGCCCAAAGCAACCTAGAAATTCAACAATATTCCTACCAAACAATCATCATTTCTCACGGAATTAGAAAAAGCTATTCTAAAATTCATATAGAACCAAAAAAGATCCCAAATAGCAAAAGCAATCCTAAGCAAAAAGAACAAAACCAAAGGAATCACATTATTTGACTTCAAACTATACTATAAGGTTACAGTAACCAAAAGAGCATGGTACCAGTAAAAAATAAACACATAGACCAATGGAATAGAACAGGGACCTCAAAATAAAACCACACACTTACAGACCTCTGACCTTTGACAAAGTCTACAAAAATAAGCAATGGGGAAAGACTCCCTATTCAATAAATGGTGCTGGGATAGCTGGCTAGCCATATGCAGAAGAATGAAACTGAACCCCTCTTTTATCATATTTAAAAATTAACATGAGATGAACTAAAAAGTTAAATGTAAGACCACAAACTACAAGAATCCTAGAAGAAAACCTAGGAAATACCATTCTGGACATCAACCTTGGAAAAGAATTTATGACCAAGCCCTCAAAAGCAATTGCAACAAAACCAAATTTGACAAGTGAGACCTAATTCAAATAAGAGCTTCTGCATAGCAAAAGAAATTATCAACAGGGTAAACAGACAACCTACAAAATGGGAGGAAATATTCACAAACTATGCATACAACAAAGGTCTAATATCCAGAATGTATAAGTAGCTTAAACAATTCAACAAGCAAAAAACAAGTAACCCTGAGCAATTCTGTAAAGACAAGTAGGCAAAAGACATGAACAAACACTTCTCAAAAGAAGACATAGAAGTGACCAATAAACATAGAAAAAATGCTTCATATCACTAATCATGAGAGAAATGCAAATCAATACTACAATGAGATACTATCTTATACCAGTTAGAATGGCTACTATTAAAAAGTCAGAAAACAACAGATGCTGGTGAGGCTGCAGAGAAACGGGAACACTTATACACTGTTGATGGGAATGTAATTAGTTCAGCCACTGTGGAAAGCAGTATGGTGATTCCTCAAAGAGCTAAAAGCAGAACTACCACTTGAACCAGCAATCCCATTACTGGGCATATACCCAGAAGAATATAGATCATTCTACCACAAAGACACATGTGTGCATATGTTCATTGCTGCAGTATTTGCAATAGCAAAGACAAGGAATCAACCTAGGTGCCCATCAAGAGTGGATTGAATGAAGAAAATGTGGTCCATATACACCATGGATTACTATGCAGCAATAAAAAAGAACCAAAGCATGTCCTTTGCAGTAACATGGATGCATCTGGAGGACATTATTGTAAGCAAATTAATGCAGGAACAGAAACCAAATACTGCATGTTCTAATTTATAAGTTAGGGCTAAATATTGGTAAAAATGGACATTAAGATGACCACACTAGACACTGGAGAGTGCTAGAAAAGGAGGAAAGGAGGGAGGCAAGTGATGAAAAATTAAGTGTTGGGTACTGTGCTCACTACCAGAGTAATGGTGTCAATCGTACTCCAAAGCTCAGCATTACACAATATATGCATTTAACAAACAAGCACATGTACCCTATGAATTTAAAATAAGTTGAAATTATTAAAAAAATGGTGTAATTGTTCATTTTCTCTTGTAATTGAACTGAGATCAAATCCTGATTATTATAACGTTATATTGAAATATTTGTAGATGAAGTTCTATAAATTTGCACTAACTTTCAAATGCTTTAAAAATAAAAATAATATGGCAAAATAACTCGAATTCAGGTGTTAGATCTATAAAATTTCATTTTATTATTTGATTACTTTTAGGTATGATTAAACTTTTCAACAGTAAAAAGTAGAGAACAAACTACAATGAGATGTCACTTCTTCTAATAAGACTTGCACAGCTTTGAAAATCTCACCTTGTCTAGTTATGGGAAGAATATGGCCAACTGAGCAATTCCGTATATCAATAGCTAGATTATACATTTTCATGAAAAACAATTTTTGAAAATCTTGTGAAAACTATTTGATAAGAATATTCATTCCTGCTTAATTTATACTATTAAACAATTAGAAATAACTAAGATATCTGCAAATAAAAGGATGTTTGCATGAAACATGATCCATTCATATGATAGATAAGGAAAAATACACATTTTATTAGTAAGTAAAAAGAAAATGCAGGCCCGGCGCGGTGGCTCACGCCTGTAATCCCAGCACTTTGGGAGGCCGAGGCGGGCGGATCACGAGGTCAGGAGATTGAGACCATCCCGGCTAAAACGGTGAAACCCCGTCTCTACTAAAAATACAAAAAATTAGCCGGGCGTAGTGGCGGGCGCCTGTAGTCCCAGCTACTTGGGAGGCTGAGGCAGGAGAATGGCGTGAACCCGGGAGGCGGAGCTTGCAGTGAGCCGAGATCCCGCCACTGCACTCCAGCCTGGGCGACAGAGCGAGACTCCGTCTCAAAAAAAAAAAAAAAAAAAGAAAATGCATTTCAGATCCATACCTCTGTTGTAATACTAGGAATAAAGTGTTGGTATAAATAAGTCTATATATAAGTCTAGAAAGAGGACAGTTTTATTTTTATTTTATACTTTTTTATATACTTGAAAAAATTAAGCCATGAAACACTGTGTAATAATGATCACATGCCAATCCAAGTGTCAGAACTGGAACTAAGTCAAAGAATATCTGCATCTTGTTTTTTTTTTTTTAATTAAAACAAAACTATGTGAAAATAATAATAAAACTTAAGCCCAAATTTTTTATGCCTTTCTTTACATTGCTTAGCTAGAGTTTTACAGAACAAAGAATCCAGGTCCTATGATGCTTATGCTTTTATTGTGGTGTGATAGCAGTCTGCATATACATTTTCTAACTACACAGCTAATTACAAAATGAAGTTCAAGATAGGATGCTTTTGTCAACATCAGTTTAAAAAGTTAACATTCTGATTTGGAATATGCTTGCTAAAATAAGCATGTTTATTAAAATATAATACTTTAGAGTTTCTATTTAGTATTTGAATACAATTTTAAAATTGAATGACATTTTTTAAAATGTCAGGTTTTATTTTAAATAAGTAAAGATTAAGGTTTTTTTAAGTGTTTTCTTTCAAATTGCCTAGCTATTTATCTTTGTTTTTATTGCATTTGCTTTTGGGTTCTTGGTCATGAAATCCATGCCTAAGTCAATGTCTAAAAGGTTTTTCCGATGTTATCTTCTAGAATTTTTATAGTTTCAGGTCTTAGATTTAAGTCCTTGAGCCATCTTGACTTGAATTTTTTATAAGGTGAGAGATGAGGATCCAGTTTCATTCTTCTACATGTGGCTAGCCAGTTACTCCAGCAACATTTATTGAATAGGGTGTCCTTTCCTCACTTTATGTTTTTGTTAGCTTTGTTGAAGGTCAGTTGGCTGTAAGAATTTGGGTTTATTTCTGGGTTCTCTATTCTGTTCCATTGGTCTATGTGCCTTTTTGTATACCAGTACCATGCTGCTTTGGTGACTGTAGCCTTATAGTATAGTTTGAAATCAGGTAATGTGATGCCTCCAGATTTGTTCCGCCTCCCTGGTTCACACCATTCTCCTGCCTCAGCCTCCCGAGTAGCTGGGACTACAGGCACCCGCCACCATGCCTGGCTAATTTTTTTGTTGCTGTTGTTGTTGTTGTTTAGTAGAGACGGGGTTTCACCATGTTAGCCAGGATGGTCTCAATCTCCTGACTTTGTGACCTGCCCACCTCGGCCTCCCAAAGTGCTGGGATTACAGGTGTGAGCCACTGCACCTGGCCTGTTCTTTTTGCTTAGTCTTGCTTTGGCGATGTGGACTCTTTTTTGGTTCCACATAAGTTTTAGAATTGTTTTTTGTAGTTCTGTGAAGAATTATCGTGGCATTTTGATGGGAATTGCATTAAATTTGTAGATCGCTTTTGGCAGTATGGTCATTTTCACAACATTGATTCTACCCATCCTTGAGCATGGAATGGGTTTCCACTTGTTTGTGTCATCTATGGTTACTTTCAGCAGTGTTTTATAGTTTTCCTTGTAGTGGTCTTTCACCTCCTTGGTTAGGTATATTCCTAAGTATTTTTTTTTTCAGCTATTGTAAAAAGAGTTGAGTTCTTGATTTGATTCTCAGCTTGGTCACTGTTGGCGTATAGACAAGCTACTGATTTGTGTACATTAATTTTGTATCTAGAAACTTTGCTGATTTCTTTAATCAGTTCTAGGAGCTTTTTGGAGGAGTCTTTAGGGTTTTCTAGGTATACAACCATATCATCTGCAAACAGCAACAGCTGGACTTCCTCTTTACCAATTTGGAAGGCCCTTGTTTCTTTCTCTTGTCTGATTGCCCTGGCTAGGACTTCTAGTACTATGTTGAATAGAAGTGGTGCAAGTGGGCACCCTTGTCTTATTCTGGTTCTCAGAGAGAATGCTTTCAACTTTTCCTTGTTGAGTATAATGTTGGCTGTAGGTTTGTTATAGGTGGCTTTTGTTACATTGAGGTATGTCCCTTGTATGCCAATTTTGCTGAGAGTTTTAATCACAAAGAGATTCTGTCAAATCCTTTTTTGCATCTACTGAGATGATCATGTGATTTTGGTTTTTAATTCTGTTTACGTGGTGTATCACATTTACTGACTTGCTTATGTTAAACCATCCCTGCACCCCTGGTCTGAAACCCAGTTGATCATGGTAGATTATCTTGTTGTTATGTTGTTGGATTTCGTTAGCTAGTATCTTATTAAGGATTTTTGCATCTATGTTCATCGAGGATATTGGTCTGTAGCTTTCTTTTTTGGTTATGTTCTTTCCTGGTTTTGGTATTAGGGTGATACTGTCTTCATAGAATGATTAAGGGAGGATTCCCTGTTTCTCTATCTTGTGGAACAGTGTCAATAGAATTGGTACCAGTTCTTCTTTGAATGTCTGGCAGAATTCAGGTGTGAATTTATCGATGATTCCTGGGCTTTTTGTTGTTGTTGGTAATTTTTTTTTTATTAGCATTTCAATCTTGCTGTTTGTTATTCGTCTGTTCAGGATATCTAATTCTTCCTGATTTAAGCTAGGAGGCTGGCATCTTTCCAGGAATTTATCCATCTCCTCTAGGTTTTCTAGTTTATGTGTGTAAAGGTTTTCATAGTAGCCTTGAATAATCTTTTGTATTTCTGTGGTGTCAGTTGTAATATCTCCTGTTTCATTTTTAGTTGAGCTTATTTGGATTTTCTCTTTTTTTTTTTGGTTAAGATAACATATTAATATTGAAAAGAATTTAAAGTAGCATTTTCTCCATAACAACACTTAATTGATTAGAGCATCATGCTGTTGTAAGTGGGGGTAGGGGTGGGGAACAATTATCACCTTTATCGTTTGGAGTAGGGGGAGTAGACGCCATTCTTCAGGGGGGTGCCATGTCAGGCTTGGTATTCTCTATTCCTTTTCCACACTCTCCTTTATTTCCTCTTATGCAAAGAGAAATTATTTATCTGATTGTGGAATTGTCAAGACACTGATATCCACTGAGTCATACCCATGCTATGTAGTGCGCGTATCGCTACATGAATAGTGTGCATACCTATGGACACTAATTTACAATTTGTCTGAACAGCAGAAACAGCCCTGACTCTGTTTCTTGCTCTACAGTACCACCAGAAATTGTATGCATCAAGTCTTTGGAGCCTCCTAGGACTCTGACAGGAACCCACCAGGCTTCTTCTTTCCTTTTCTGTGCTTTCTGCTGTGTTACTTTTGTTAGCTGCTGAAATCCTTCATATAGTTGTCTAGGCAAGTGTCTGCTATTCAGGCCCAACATTTTCCAAGAAGATAATTCCATAATTTCATTCATTTGGGTTTGACGATTTGGTAGGAGAACATATACATTGAAGGAAGTTCTTCTTTTGAGTAGAATCCAAACTGCATTCTCCAGTTTAGCTATAACGGAAAGCCCTTGTACTTTTAGTGTTATTGAGCTCTTACATTGTGTATTAATGTCATTAACCTGCATATTTTCAATATTCTGCCCTAGTATTCAGTTTTAGTTTGTAAAAACTTTAAAGGAGAGAGGTATTGATTCTTGAATACTCACATAATTCTGCCTCTATATAATGTATCTAAATATTCGCCCTCCTTTTCTTTTCCTCCATGCTGAATATAAAATAAAAATCAAATTTCAGAATTTAGTATTTTATTAAGTGAGAGAGCAATATAACATTGGGAGAGTGATCTTTTTATTATTTATTCTTAAAACTTTAAAAATGTGTTATGAAGCTGACATTTTGATTTGTTGGACTGAGGGAGGGGATGGGAAGAAGGTATTATTCAATATATTTTGGATAATATTCAAATATATTTATTTTCAAAATTTTACCCACATTTTTCTTAGGTTGATTTGTGATCAAAGAGAAAAAAGGCAAGCCAGAAAATAAAATATCCTTACAATTTTAATATCAACTATTTACATAGTCTAACATCACTCCATGCTAACTTAAAGTGTGGAAACTCTTCTAAAACACCAAATAATTACTGGTTTAGTTTTTTATATTCTAATAAACTGTGTAGTACATAGGAGCCAATGGTGTTTTACAACTAGCAAGCAATTTCTGTAAAAGTAGGGTATCTGTTTCAGACAACATAAAACATAATTTTCAGATTAATTGGAATAAGGAGGTGATATGCTCAGATAACACTAAAAGGAAAACAAGGTTCAAGAATCAGAAAATTCAATAAAATAAGCACCTTATCTCTAGCAAACCATATGGGACCTTAAGCCATGAATCCTTAGGTGCTAACTTTACCTCTTGGTTTACTGGATTTATTTATTTTGACTCATCAGAAACTTCATATTTTTCTATTGTGTACATTTTTTGTAAACCACATCATATTTTTTGTGGAATGGTATAAAGTATAGTTGATTAAATATGTTTCCAATTTTAAGGAGTTTAGATTGCTTTTAGAGGAGATTTTTATGCTTTACACAACCAACCTAGTGCTTCAAAATTCAATCAACTTTACTTTGTACAACTGCTTTAAGTACTTGTTTACACATTTTTTTCTAGAATCAATTATGTTATAGGTCCTTATATATGATTTACTAAGTAGTTTGAGTAGAAGTTTTAGGAAGCATAGAAAATATTTATTTTATTCTGTAAATAGAGCCAGTTTATTGATTCAAGTAATAGTGTATATTTTCAATTTTTAAAGTGGTTCTAGTGATTTTTTTCACTTAAGATTTTATTTAACAATGTTTTCACAGAAAGAAAAACAGCATACAATATATCACAAATAGATTAACTAAAATATCGCCAAACAATGCTTACATCTTTGTAAAATGACTACCTTACAGAGCAATCTACTCAAAATTATATATAAATAAATATTCTGGTTGTAGTATAGTTGATAGGGAATTATATTAGATAAAATAGGCCAGAAATGTTGTTTTATAGTAAGTTTTCCTTTGTTCCAGGAAGTTTCAATTCAGAATTTCAGAAACATAATTCTCTGAACTTATTTGTTCATTTACCTTCCATAGAAATATTTCAATAATATGTGAATTTTCAAGATGACCCGGAATGAGAGCGATCAATGTTCAAACCATTCTTGCTACAGATTTAAGATGCAATTCAATTCAGAGGTTTGACCTTGGTTTTCATAACTTAACTGTTTGTCTCCATACAATGTTCTACCTTTGAAGAACTGGCTTTAAATCTTTTTCATTTTTTTTTGAGATGGAGTTTCACTCTTGTTGCCCAGGCTGGAGTGCAATGGTGTGATCTCGGCTCACTGCAACCTCCACCTCCCAGGTTCAAGCAATTCTCCTGCCTCAGCCTTCCCCGTAGCTGGGATTACAGATACCCGCCACCATCCCCGGCTAATTTTTTTTTATTATTTTTAGTAGAGAGGGGGTTTCACCATATTGGCCAGGCTGGTCTTGAACTCTTGAACTGGCTTTAAATTGTTATATTGAGTTAAATAACTAATTTGGAGTCAAATTACTCAAAGAATATAGATATGGTATTGCTAAGGGAATGTAGGTGCTGGGTTATTACTGTTTGAAAAATATATGTAATATGAAACATTAAAAATAATTAATTATTGCTCTTTGAATAACTTTATACAAATGGAGAAAAAACTATTTGAACAATCCCTATGGGCTTGAGGCTCAGACTTCTGAGGATAGGATGCTATCCAACTGTTGGTATCTCTGAAAAGACAGGATAGGGTGCTTCTAGGAGTACCAAAATAAGTTAGACTCTAATTGCTAATGCCTGGGCAACACTAAGAGGAACATTAAGTGGAAAGGAGAAAGTCCCTTCTCTCCTTCTCAGCTTTCTTTTTTGAGAGCCATTTACTGGCAAAACCTAACAGAAAGTCAACGCTCCAGCATTACCGAGCAGATGGAGGTGATGATAAATACCTGGTCTAGGACATCTCCCTATTATTCAGTATTCACGGATATTCCTACAAGCATAATAAAACGTCCATCCAGTATTTACTTCATGTTTCTATTTAACAAGATGTGATGATTCTCCGACAAATGAACTGTTACCATCAAAAGGTATAAAAATATCTATCTCTGCATGATGTTAATTCTTCTTCTGGTTTAATCATTATCCCAATGAATCTCTATTAGAGATAAAAAAAAATTTAGAACAATATTGCCAAGGAAGTATTGTCACTATCATTAATTTTTTAAAGAATGTCTATAATATATAAAAAAATTTAAATCATCATTAAGTCTTTTCGAGTTTTGGATGGGTGCCATCATCCATCACATTAAATCTGTATTAAAGCTGAACAGCTTAATGGAGTGGTGGTGAACCACTGGACATACAGATCTGTGCCTATTTACTATTTTCCTAATTATCTATCTGTTTACCCTGCCTTCCCTCACTCCCTCCCTACATTGCTCTCTCATTTCTTTTTCTAACTTTCTCACTTGCTGGTTCTCCTTCTAGTAGAAAATCTTAAATACTTTAGGAATTGATGAGAACAAGTTGAGGGGGAAACAGAGATAGAGTTAGTGTCTGCAACAGCTGAAAAATAAGAAGTTGACCAAATTTGTAGACTTAATGAAGAACATTAGACCCAATGTCAGCAACATACTCCTTAGCATTTTAGATACCTTATAGGGATTTTACTTGAATCATTATTTTTTATAAAAAATATATCAAATGAATAAATTTTAAATTACGTTCTGATTTTCTTTTTTGTATTACATTATCAGGCAGGGTACATTAATAAAAGTATTAGAGTTATAAAGGCAAAATAGAAACCATGTTATAAACAATATCATAGCCTAAGTTTTTGCTTCTTTGCAGATGAATTACTGAGATTTTGAAAAAATTCTAAAAATTAAATAGCATAATATATAGAGAGGGATTCTGGTTTAAACTGGCAGACTTATAAATAACTTCCATTTGTAAAAGGTCACGTTGAAGTCATAGAAAATACGTAAAAAGAACTAAGTAAGTAAATGTAAAAAATCATGAAGCACAAAAAAATAAGAAAATACAAAAGTTTGGAGAAATTCCCAGAAAAAAGGCAGATGGTAGTTGATCCAATTAATCTAATTAGCCTTTACAATTAATAATATTTTTATAATTCTAATAAAGTAAATGCTACTTATCCATTTTTAATTTTCAAATGTAACATATAGAAAAATCCTGATGAACTTAATTATAGGTAAAGCACAGAATGTAAATGTTGTAACCTGTATTTAAAAAGTAAAATAATAGTAATAATAATATAGTACAAACAGAAAGAAGTAATATTTTAAATATCTCCCTCTTTCATATTTGAGAATCAATGTAATCTTTAACATTTACATAAATCAAGACAAGTATGTAAAGTGTTATTTATACACTAATAAAGATAGTAAATAAAAGAAGCAAAGTTTGTCAAAACAAAATAAGGGATGAAGACATCAATAATATACTGATAAATGAAGAGAAAACTAAATATCATATTTGTACTTATAAGAATTACTACTTAAAATATTAAAAAGAAGTATTTTATGTGGAACAATTTGTCACTACCTTTTGTCTTCTTAACCGCTTTATGTTTGAGGAATACAGCAAGATATTAAGCAGAATGACTCCTAATTTTGGTTTATTTGATGTGTCCTCATATTTAGATTCAGGTACCATTTTTAGCAGAATTTCCCCAGAAATACTATGTCATCATTTTAGGAAGTAAGTAATGTTAAATTTGTGCACAATTTGTTGCAATATTATTGATTGTAACTTTAATCACTTATTTAGGGTGGTAAAAATTAAGGTTTTCAACTGTGAAATCACTCCCTATTGTAAGTAATAAGAAATTTGTAGGTAGATACTTTGAGAATGTGCACTGTGAATTTGATAATACTGCATTGATGTTAAATTTCTAGATTTTGATAATTGTATTGTACCTCTATATCAGAATATGTTGCTGATAAGAAATACATGTAAAGTAGTATATTAAGATGTAAAAGGATACAATATCCTGAAATTAATATCAAATAGTTAAAAAAGAATATTATCTTTGTATAAATATATACATAGAGAATAATAAAATATCGATGTTGCAAAGAGTTAGAATTGATGAATCTGAGTGAAGGATACCTGGAATTTCCTTGTGCTATTTTTGAATCTTCTTTGTAAGTTTGAAAATAAAATAAAAAACTACAAAAATAAAATGATGGTGTCCTCTCAGATTTGAGACTATGTGTTGAAGATGGTAACAGGGAAATTATCTCATTTTTTTCTTAATACATGCATTGTATAATTCTTTTTTTTTTTCTTTTTTTGAGACGGAGTCTTGCTCTGTCACCCAGTTTGGAGTGCAGTGACATGATCTCGGCTCACTGCAACCTCTGTCTCCTGGGTTCAAGCGATTCTTCTGCCTCAGCCTCCCAAGTAGCTGGGACTACAGGCACGCACCACCATGCCCGGCTAACTTTTTGTATTTTTAGTAGAGATGGCGTTTCACCGTGTTAGCCAGGATTGTTTCTATCTCCTGACCTTGTGATCTGCCCTCCTTGGTCTCCCAAAGTGCTGGGATTACTGGCATGAGCCACCACGCCCAGCCATATAATTATTTTAAGTAAGCAAAACAATTTAATAATATGAAACTTTAAGCATTTAGCACAATACTTAGCACATAGTGAGGACTTAACAGTGGTGTATGAGTAGTGTGCTATTCCTTGAGGAATACAAAAAGAAACATTTGTTCTTCACATTTTCTAAATGAAGAACTCTAAGGTTGTGTATTAATGGTTGTTTTGTAGAGAACTTTACTCTCAGGCTCTCTGAACTAACACAAACCTTTTGACTGGTACCATTTCACAGGTCACATGGCAGTAACCTAAACATATTAAAATTAACTGTGGGAAACAGTAAAAAGGCTGCCAGGACAGGTTCAAATCACTGGACAAAATGATGATATTCAAAAAATGAATTTCTGTAGGTTTCCTTCAAATTAAGGTGACTTATAAGAAGTAAATGAAGATAATATGCCCAAGACTTTTTACACTCATTTCTTCTTTGAGGTATGTGCTTAACAAATAAAATTTGTAAAACATTGGTTTTTTTTTTAATTTCAATAGTTTTTTTGGGAACAGGTAGTTTGTTTACATAAATAAGTTGTTTTGTGGCGATTTCTGAGATTCTGCACCCATCACCCGAGCAGTGTACACTGTTCCCAATGCGTAGCCAACCCTTTCCCTTGAGTCCTGAAAGTCCATTGTATCATTTTTAAGCCTTTGCATCCTCGTAGCTTAGTTCCCACTATGAGTGAAAACATGCGATGTTTGATTTTCCATTTCTGAGTTACTTCACTTAGAATAATGGTCTCCAATTCCATCCAGGTTGCTGTAAATGCCATTATTTTCTTTCTTTTTATGGCTGAATAGTATTCCGTGGTGTGTGTGTGTGTGTGTGCATATATTATTTATATATATATATATATATATATATATATATATGTCACATATATATGACATTGCCTTTATCCACTCATTGCTTGATGGGCATGTAGGCTGGTACCATATTTTTGCAATTGTGAATTCTGCTGGTATAAACATGGGTGTGTAGTTATCTTTTTCATATAGTAACTTCTTTTCCACTGGGTAGATACCCAGGAGTGGGATTGCTGGATCAAATGGTAGATCTACTTTCAATTACTTAAGGAATCTCCACACTGTTTTCCATAGTGGTTATACTAGTTTACATTCCCACCAACAGTGTAAAGTGTTCCCTTTTTACCACATCCACACCAGCATCTATTATTTTTTGATTTTTTTATTTATGGCCATTCTTGCAGGAGTGAGGTAGTATCGCATTATGGTTTTGATTTGCATTTCCCTGATCATTAGTGATGTTAAGCATTTTTTTAACATTTGTTGGCCATTTGTATATCTTCTTTTGAGAATTGTCTATTCATGTCCTTAGCCCACTTTTTGATGGGATTGTTTGTTTTTCTTGCTGATTTGTTTGAGTTGTTTGTAGATTCTGGATATCAGTCTTTTGTCAGATACATAGATTACAAAGATTTTCTCCCACTCTGTGGGTTGCCTGTTTATTCTGCTGATTATTTCTTTTGCTGTGCAGAAGCTTTTCAGTTTAATTAAGTCCCATCTATTTATCTATGCTTTTGTTGCATTTGCTTTTGGTTCACAGTCATGAAGTCTTTCCCTAAGCCAATGTCTAGAAGGGTTTTTCCAATGTTATCTTCTATAATTTTTATGATTTCCTGTCTTAGATTTAAGTTTCTGATCTATCTTGAGTTGATTTCTGTATAGTGTGAGAGATAAGGATCCAATTTCATTCTTCTATACATGGCTTACCAATCATCCCAGCACCATTTGTTGAATAGGATGTCGCTTACCCACTTTATGTTTTTGTTTGCTTTGTTGAAGATCAGTTGACTGTTAGTATTTGGCTTTGTTTTGAGATTCTCTATTCTGTTCAATTGGTCTATATGTCTATTTACATATCGGTACCATGCTGTTTTGGTGCCTATGGCTTTATTGTATAGTTAGAACTCCAGTAATGTAATGGTTCCAGATTTGTTCTTTTTTTAGTCTTGCTTTGGGTATGTGGGCTCTTGTTTTATTCCATATGAATTTTAGGATTTTTTTTCCTAGTTCTGTGAAGAATGATGGTGGTATTTTTATGGGAATTGCACTGAATTTGTAGATTGCTTTTGGCAGTATGGTCAACCAGCATCTATTTATGATTAGCCCTTAGCAAAATTGGTATAGAGGAGACATACCTCCAGGTAATAAAAGCCATCTATGACAAACCCACAGCCAACATTATACTGAAGGGGAAAAATTTAAAAGCATTCCCCGCTGCAAGCACTGGAACAAGACAAGGATACCTACTTTCACAACTGCTGTTCTTCCCCAGAGCAATCAGACAAGAGAAAGAAATAAAGGGCATCCAAATTGCTAATGAGGAAGAAAAACTGCCCCTCTTTGATTATGACATGATTGTAATACCTAGAAAACCCTAAATCCTCATCCAAAAAGCTCCCTGAACTGGTAAATGGATTCAGCAAAGTTTCAGGATACAAAATTAGTGTACACAAATCAGTAGGCCTGCTATACACCAACAGCCACCAAGCTAAGAATCAAATCAAGAACTCAACTTCTTTTACAACAGCTGCAAAATAAATAAAATACTTAGAAATATACTTAACCAAAAAGGTGATAGACTTCTACAAGAAAACTACAAAACACTTCTGAATGTAATCATAGATGACACAAAGAAATGGAAACACATCCCATGCTCATGGTTGGGTAGGAACAATACTGTGAAAACACAGTATTTTAAAATGTAAAATGATCACTTTTTAATTTTAATCAAGGGTTATTGAAAGTGCATATTTAGTAAAGGTAAATATGTAGAGGAGATTAACAAGAGGCTTGTCATTTTTAGAGCCCATATCTGTTTAAATAAGTCTGACTGGGTTGAATGAGGTAATATTGGTATGATAGAATTAAGACACAAGTGAAACTTGGTATTTATTGGAAAGTAGTTATCATTTGTTCTGCTGAATGCAAAAAGGAAACCAATAAAAGGACAGGAAATTATGTCTTAAAAAGCCCAGAAAATATGTAACAAATAAATTCTCACATAAGCTTTTATAAAGATCCATTTCTAGATTAAAGTTAGTATGACATGTAGTCCCAGCTACTGGAGAGGCTGAGACATGAGAATTGCTTGAACCTGGGAGGCAGAGGTTGCAGTGAGCCAAGATCGTCCCACTGCACTCCAGTTTGGGTGCCAGAGTGAGACTCCATCTCAAAAACAAACAAACAAACAAACAAACAAACAACAAAAAAAAGTTAGTATTCCATGGAACCACACATACATAGGCATAATGTAAGTAAATAAAGTTTTATTGGCTTTTTCAGAAACATCTAAGAATTATACACTACATGAATATTTTGTATGTCAATATACATGAGCGGAGAAGATTTTTGCTTTTCCTTGATGTGTTTTGAAGTATTTTAGAAACTATTTTAGGAGTGTTTTCAAAGCTAAAGCATTTTACCTTTTGTAACATTTGAATATTTGATATGTGTAAATAATTTGAATGCACTAAAGGCTGAATTTAATTAACTACAATCTGAATGAATAAAAATAAAGAATAAAAGTAAATAACATAATTTGAGATAATAAAACATACTGTGTAAACATACAGTATTAGGATGGAATTTCTTGTTTAATTTATGAATTCAGACTAAAAGAAAAAAAGTCCTAATTTATTTTATTGTAATTTTGTGGGGGAATAAATGTATTTTATTGCAAATCACTGCATGGAATTAAAGTGTTAAATAGAATATACCTTATAGGCCAGTATATGTTTGAACAAATCACTCTGGCATTTTATAGTTTATTCATTTAGTCACTCACAAATCATAAATTACATTCCTACACATACCAAACTCTGTACTAGTGGTGATTAGCTTTTACCTATTCCTTTCCATTCTACATCAGACACTCTATTAGAAGCCTGTTTCTTCACACACATGAAGACTGAGATTTAGGTAAGTCATTTGTCCAGGATCACATAGCAAGAAGTGATATAAAACAGATTTGAACCTATGCAATTTAATTTCAGAGTTGACTACACATAAACATTATATATACTTTCTAGGACTTGACACAGTTTCTCAAAAGGCTTACAATACTGAAGTAGAGAATAGAATTATAAACTAGAAAATCTTGAAAATAAGGGAAGTATGTATTAGTATGCAAATCTTAATCAATTTTTTTAACGAAGCACAAAGAGAGAAAGAAATTTTGGGGTAATAGTGTAGAAGCGATGAGTATTCACAGAGTCAGATTTGAGTTCCATCTTGTATCAATCACTTACTTGATGAGAAATTTTGGGCAAGTAATTTAACATTTCTAAGCCTCATTTTTATTACCTCTAAAGTGAGACTATTAATACCTACTCCATGGAACAGATTTGAAGATTAAGTAAAACGACACACAAGGCCAAAGCAGCATAGCAAAGGCTTGGAGAACTGAACTATGTCATAGACTACTGGCAATATCTCAGATTAATCCTGAGTGGAACAAGTATGGGACACACAGAAAGCAGCACAGGAAAAACTTTAAAAACTGTAAAGTTATTGGAAACACAAATAGCAAAACATCAAAACAGTGTATGCAGTCTGAGTTGAACAATGTTGATTTCCTGCTAAACAAAACCAGGAAACCCCACAGCAGTTCTCCAGAGAATTTAGCAGGACCAATAATCTCACAACATAGTTTTAAAATTTACTCAAGGTCTAAAGAACAAGAAAAATGTTATTTATTTCAAAGTTATTAGCAAGAGGAAAAGCTATAACTAGTACCAACCCCAACCCCAAGATAAATAAGATGTTGAAATTATCAATGAAGTCTTAAAGCAGCTATAATAACCATATTCCTTGAGATAAAAGTAATAATCTTAAAATAAATGGAAGAACAGAAGTTCTCAGCAGAGGGTTAGAAACTATAAAACACAAATGGTAACTTTAGAACTAAAAAGAAATCTAATATTTGTAAAGAATTATTGAATGAGGACCATATCAGAATGATGATCACAGTGAAATGTCAGTGAACTCAAAGAAAGATTAATAGGAATTATCAAATCTGAAGATTAGAAAGAAAATGCATGAAAAAGAAGCATAAATGAAGCTTCAGGAGCCAATGGGACAGCATAAAATGTATAGTATTTGTGACTTTGAAAAACTAGATGAAGAGGAGAAAAAGAATAAGGCAGAAAAACAAACAACAAAACCTGAGCAAAACCTGGCCTAATATTTCCAAAACCTGGTGGAAGACACAATTTACAGATTTACTTCTTGGTGAATGCCAAAGAAGAAAAATTCAGAAAGACTATGCTCATACAGAGTGTAACTAAGTTGCTGAAAAATCAAATAAACTTTGAAAATACCCTGAGAGAAACAAGACATTAAAAATAAGACAACAATGACATGAAAATCTGCAATTTCTCATCGGAAACCACAAAGGCCAGAAGACAGTGAAATAATATGTTCAAATGGCTGACATATAAGAATGTCAACCCAGAATTCTATATACAGAAGAAAGATCCTTTACTTAGAAAAGTAGAACAAAGGTATTTTTTAAGGATGAAAAATTTTTGGGAGACATGCTTTAATGAAGTGCTGATGAAGGTTCTTCAACCAAAATGGAAATGTTACCAGAAAGAAACATCAATAATGAAGGAAATGATAAATATTGAACAGATGTGGTGGATTATTTCTTTCCAGAAGTGTTTATTAAAATATGTAGAACAATTTAAAGCATAAATTATACCATCAAATAGGGGGAGGTTTAAAATGTATGTAGATACAATGCTTATGACAACTATAACATAAAGAGGAGGTAGTAAAATGAATAATATCATTGTAACTCTTCTATATTTTATGTAAAGTAGTAAAACGTTAACTCTGTGGAAGATTACTTATGTGTATTTCAATCCCTAGTACATTCATTAAAAAATTATACAAAGAGATATTGTAAAAGTCGGTAGATAGTTAAAATTGTTTATGAAAAATATCCAAATAATCAAACAAAAGGCAGAAAAGAGAGCAAAATACCAAGGATACAAACAGAAAACAAAGCTAAATCCAATATTTCAATGTTATATTTAATACAAATGGTCTAAAACTTCAAATAAAATATATTATTAGATTAGATTTAAAAATAAAAGCAATGCATATACCTTAAATATAATGATATAGAGATGTTAAAGTACAAGTATAAAATAACTTACATTTTAATATCAAAGTATGTTTCAGAGTAAAAATAATATGACCAGGTATAAAAGTCATTTCATAACAATAAAGGTTTCAACTAATCAAAAGGACATAACAATTGTAAACACCTACACCTTTAATAACATTACTTAAAAATACATAAAAACTTAATGGAACTGCAGAAGATTTAGACAAATTCACAGTTAACAAATACTTCTTTCTCAAAAATTGACAGACTATGCTGTCAGAAAATCAGCAAAAATATAGTAGACTTGGATAACACTATCAACAAACTTGAGGTTATTGACATTTTTAAATATTTGTAGAACACTATACAAAAAAACAGCAGACCTGAATTCCATCAAGTGCAAAAGATAGAATATTTGCCAAGATAAATCATATTTTGAGACACAAGACAAACCTCAACAAATTTTAAAAGGTTTGTCAGACAAATTATGTTTTCCGACAACGATGAAATTAAACTCGAAAATGGTAATAGACAGATCTTGAAAAACCCACACATATTTTAAAATTTTAAAAACTTCAAATAAAATGACTTAAAAAGAAATATTAAAAAAACAAAAAAATTGAACTGAATAAAAATATAAATGCCCATGCCAAAATTTGAGGGATGCAGTTTAGCAGTAATTGGAGTAAAATAATAGCATTAAATCTTTATTAGAAAAGAAGAAAAGTCTTAAATCAGTAACTAAAGTTAAGCATTAGCAAATTTTTCTGTATAGGTTCAGATGTTAAATATGTAAGCCTTATTAAGTCACATGGTCTCAATCACAGCTACTCAACTGCCATTTTAGTACAAAAGAAGACATAGACAATACATAAATAAATGTCCATGACCAAGTTCCAATAAAACTTTATTTACAAAAAGTAGGCAGCAGACCAGATTTGGGCATAGTTTGCCAATTGTTGACACTCACCTTAAAGACCTTTTTCATGCCCAAAGCATGCAGAAGGTAGTGAAGGCAGCGGCGGCCCTTCTGGTGCATCCACTGCAGGATGCCAGCTCCAGCATGGGAGGCGCAGCTGGGCCTGCATGCTCTGTGAAGCAAGTGGGAGCCAGGAACAGGCGAGAGTCCCGCCCCCTTCTGAGTTGGCAGTCAGTTGCCACTCAGCTGCAGCTGCGGACCCAGCATTCTGTGCTCTTAGGGGCCCGGGAAGTCCACCTGCCCCTGCAGGCTCGGAAGCGCCTGTTTCCACTGCTTGGCCTCTCCCTGCTCTTGGCGCCCAGTCCAATTTTGGAGCAAAGTTGAAGCCAAGCTTGGGTGTTGCGGCAACCTGGCTGGGTGTCCGTGTGCTTGGGGGTGGTGCTGACACGCCAGCCTCCCGCCCCCCATGCCTCAGCCCCCTATGGACTTTGGGCACCAACAAGCACAGAAGGGAGGCTGAGGGGGACTGAGGACGGCAGCGTAGTGCCAGCCTGCAGGTGGCCCTCGGCATGAACGGCCTTGACCCAATGGACCACATGATGGATAGCAGCAGGAGGCAGGCCGGTTCCTGGGTGGGAAGGGGCCGTCCTGGGTGAAGCCCCACCTTCAAGCCAGGGATGGGCTGAAGCTTCGGGGCTGGGCTGACAGTTCCAGGTGAAGTCTGCGGCCTAGGGTGCTTTGTATCATGTTTATATATAGTAAAAGCACAGTTCATTTTACTTGAATTAAATGTCTACCTCAAAGATGTTTTACCATAATAAAACAGTGTGCTTCACTCAAAGTTGGTTCACTGCATTCATTAACACATTATGTTTAAGAGACTCATTTGGAGTTGAAGGTGAAGAACAATGGCGAGTTGATTTTATGATGAACCTTGTACTCTGATTATGATGTCTAGGGCAGGCAAGACATACTAACTGAAAATTAAAACTACTAATATAAGGAAGGAAATAAATAACAGCCAAACAACCATATAGGCTAGAATTCTACCCATGTTCGTAAGAAAAATACTATAGACTTCTGTAGCCAAGAAATATTTGTTGAGGTTGTTCTGAAACTATAATTCTTCTGAAACTTTTAGAGTAGATGTAATTTGTATAATCATGCTGAGGTAAGAAAGAAAAAGATAATCAAGGTTGGAAGAATGGAGTGAGTTTGAGAATAGTGAGTGCTATGGAGAACACGTTTAGGGTGTTTTCAGTGGGTAAATAGGATTATTCCACAACTTTGTTTGCTGTAGTCCTCATTTTGGTTATCATATGACCTTTGAAGATCAGGAACAAATTTCACACAGGCAGCAACAGCAATTTAATTTTAGCAAATTAACCTCACGTGAGAGGAAAGAGAGGCAGCATCCCTGTATTCAAAATAATCCCTCTAAAAACTCCATTCTCTTCAACGGTGGGCACGGTGGAACAGAGCAGTGACCAATAAATATTTGTTGAATAAATAAATCGTAAACATAAAACACACATAACAAACACATTTATTGCTTATCAAAATTCTAATGACATAATTATGAAAACATTTACTTAAAGTTAGTACTCTGTGGAAATGTAAGCTCCCATTGGAGCATGAATTTATTTTTCTACTCTTCAGCACCATACAACAAATGTTTAGTTTAGTGCCTCATCCATGATAGGAACTTTATAAATATTTCCAACATGAAAGAAAAAAAGAATGGCTGAGTAAAGGAAAAAAACAGTATTGTTCAAACAATGGCACCAGATAGAACTAAATTTATTTTCTTTCTTTTCTGGTGAAGGGGTTGTTTTGTGTGTAATTTGTTTTAAAATAGAATAAAATATGCAATAATTAATAAATACAATAAAGGCAAATGGAGAGAAGTAAAATTTTTACCATTTTTATGTATTGTAAACAGTTTTGCATTTAAGATATATACACAATACCACAAGAATAAAAGAAAGGAAGAAAGTGGAAATGAAAAGAAAATAATAACAAATATTTATAATAAAGGAAGGAAGACTTAAAATTTAAAGAGGTGACAAATTTTCTTTCTTCTGTTTTAATTCTTTTAAGTTATTACTAGCTATATTGGTCACAGAGGCATAAATTGAGGTAATGATACATGATGAATATCCAAAAGCCTTTTTAAATTGAAAAACATATTAACTTTAGATAAAATATGTAAATGTACCAATAATATTTTTGTAAATGTTCACTATACTGTATTCCATTTGTTCCTATCTACAAAAAGTGACTATGAAGTATTATATTAAGTAATCTAAGGAAAATAATACACACAGTTCTCTATCAGCAAAGGTGGGAGATACATGAATTTTTTCAGACTTATCAGAGTATGGAAATGGAAAACTATAATTTCCAGGTAATTAATTGCTAATGTAATTACCTGGAAAAAGGTTTATAACTTGTTCCTCCAGAAAACACATTTTTTTATCCCCTCATAATGAGAGAAAATTTTACAAGTTTTAAAAACTCTTTTTTTTTAAATTTTATTTTATTTTATTATTATCATACTTTAAGTTTTAGGGTACATGTGCACAATGTGCAGGTTTGTTACATATGTATACATGTGTCATGTTGGTGTGCTGCACCCATTAACTCATCATTTAGCATTAGGTATATCTCCTAATGCTATCCCTCCCCCCCCCCTCCCCACAACAGTCCCCTGAGTGTGATGTTCCCCTTAATATTTTTCCATTTACACATTATTCAGCTCCTTCACATTACCAAGAAATCCCCAACATTTACCAGTCTCTCATCTGAAAACATTTATTGCTATCAGCTTAAAATTAGCACTTAGAAATTTTAATAAGTAAAATTGAGTTTAAATGTGAAAACTTACTACATAAATATTAAATAAACATAAATGTGGACTCTATCAAGAACCCCCCAAAATGTTATGTATTTTTCTGAATATATGCTTTGCTTATTTTAAGATATTTTTTAAAAATTAAAAATATAAACAAGAGAAAGATCTGTCATTCACTATAAAATCTTAAAGTATATTACATATTAATTTCACTGTTTGTATCTATGAATATGCATATATACTATACACACCTATATAGATACACCATATTTTTTCATATCCTCACAAAGAAAAATTTGTCCATATTTTAGGACAAAAGCAATAAGCATGAGCTTATTGGTCCTCTGTTTCTTAATTATGTGTATCTACCATGTGTCCACTTTTATATTTGATTTTTAAACATTTTCTTATCCATTGTAATTTAGTAATATAAAGGGTATTATATCAAAGATTAGCTCTTAAAAATGATCATAACTAACATTTACCGAATTTGTTACGTGTTTTGCTGTTCTAACTTCTATATCAAAGGAACACTACAACTTAGTGACTTAAAATCATCATTTAAATTTGTTCATAATTGCATGACTCAAGAATTCAAGGAGGACTTAGCTATATATTCAACTCTGGTACACATGAAATTAGCATGGTACCTGGGGCTGGAGGACCTACTTCAAAGTTGGCTTCTTCACTGACAGTCTGACACTCCCGTGCCCCTTGGCCTCTATATTTTTCAACATGATGTTTCTCTTCCAAGACTTCTTCATGGACTTGGACTTTTCACAGCATGGCAATTTCAGGTCAGTTGTTTATATTGGCTTACTTTCCTTAGAGCTAACATTTCAATAACAACTATTACAAGTTACCTGGACACAAATTGAATCACTCATATATTGTTGGTGAGAATATAAAATGGTATAGACACTCTAAAAATTAGTTTTGCAGTTGCTATTACAAAACGAAACAATCAATTTTCATGCAATCCAACACGTTCACTCTTGAGTATTTAACCCAGAAAAAAATGAAAATTTATGTTCACACAAAAACCGATAAAAATAAAAATTTATGTTCACACAAAAACGTTCATCGAAGCTTTATTCATAATAGTCAAACACTGGGTATACACCACATATGCTGTAGTACATTTTTACCATGAAATGCCCTTCGACAATAAAAAAAATTGATGAATGATGCAAAAACTTAGAAGAATCTCTAGAGAATTATGCTGTGTGAAAAGATCAGTATCAGAATTTTGCATACAGTAGAATCCAATTTATAAAACATTATTGGAATGACAAATTATAGAAATGAAGAACATATTAGTTATTTACAGGGCTGAGAGATGAGGAAAGAAATGGTATGAGAATTTATTATAAAAAAGTGACAGAGGAATCATTGTGGTGCTGGAACTGTTCTGCACCTTGACTGCGGTGGTGGCTACACAAGCCTGCACATGTTTTAAAATTTCATAGAACTTCATAGAAACTGTGCAAATAAATCAGTACTTGTAAAACTGGAGAAAGCTGAATAAGATCAGTTCATTTTACTAATGTCAATATACTGGTTATGGTACTGTACTGGTGTTAAAAGGTGTTACCATAGGAAAAAACTGAATAGGATACATTGAATGTCTCTATATTAGTTCTTAAAACTGCATGGGTCTACAGTTATTTCAAAATAAACATAATTAATTTTAAAAAGCAAAGCCAAAATGTACAAATGTATATGTAAAAATGTTTTATTATTTTAAAATAATGCATTTTAATATCACAAATGATAAAAGGATATTTCTTGTCAGCCTTTACATTCAACACAAAATTGGTTGTTTAGCCATAAACATAAGAAAATACAAAGAAATAAAATTCATTAGAAATGAAAACAAAAATATCAGTGATGCCAGATGTTATGATTCTAGACTGAAATAAAACTCAAGTTTACAAAAAGTTTACAAAAGCAAGTAATTAAAATTAATAAAGTTAGGCAAGTTTGACATACACAAGGTCAATATACAAAAATCAAATGATGTCTGAAATTTAAGAATAGTATCAAAAATAAATTATGAATAAATCTAAGGTTCTACAAAAGCTTTTTAAATGAAATTATACCATATTATATATTGAAAGAAATGAAACAGGATATAAAACGTTATATCATATTCATAGGAAAAGATATTACAAAGATGACAAATGTCTCTAAATTGAGATATAGATTTAATGTGATTCTATTTATAATCATAACAATATATTTTTTCTACTTGACAACTTTATTCTAAATTATTTGGAAAAGTAAAGGGACAAGAAAAACAGAAAAATTCCTGAAAACAGACAAGGAAAAAGGAATTCTAGTTTTAAATATAACGACTTCTTCTAAAGCTATAAATATTTAGGACAGTGTGGAAATAGTACAAAAAAGGCAAATAAAAAAGGAGAACAGAATAGAAAGCTACAGACCTATACATTTATGGAATATGGATATAACAGAAGTGTTTGTTCAAATCAGTGGAACTGGATAGACTATTTAAGTATTTATGGATTACTTTATTATATAGATTTTTCAAATTAAAATAACATTCATACCTTAAGCAAAACGAATTTCACATGGCTTAATGGATAAAAAATGATACATTGAAATGTATTAAATTTAAGTACTTATATTCATCAAAAGACTCATAAAAACAAAGTGAACACCAAACCCTATGAATCTGAAAAGATATTTGAAACACATTTAGCAGTCACGAATTCAAATTTAGAAAATATGAAGAACACCTAAGATAAATAACAAAAAGGTAAATATTACAATGGAAAAGTGGACAAGGAAAACTGACAGAGCATTTCATCAAAAATCAAAATATAAGTGGCCCATAACAGTAGGAAAATGACCAATTTTATCATAAAAATGAAATACAATGAAATAGCATTGCATGCCTATCACATTGGTTGAAAAGGATGTTGAACAACAGAAGCTCTTTTTTTCCAGTTTTAAATTGATACATAATAATTGTATATATTTATAAAGTGCATATGATATTTTGATACATCTGCATTTTGATGTATTTTGATACAGATTGCATACAATCTGTTATGATCAAATCAAAGTAATTAGAATATCCATCACCTCAAACACTTATCATTTCTTTATATTGAGAACCATCTAAATCTTTCGAAATATTCAATAAATTATTGTTAACTATAGTCACCCTACTGTGCTCTCAAACACTAGAGTTTACTCCTTCTATTTAACTGTATCTTTGTGCCCATTAACCAACCTTATCCCTCTCTTCCCAACACTTTCCAGCCTCTGGTTATGATCATTCTACCTTCTATTTCCAAGAGATAAACTTTTGTAGCTTCCACATATGAACGACAATATGTACCATTTGTCTTTCTCTGCCTGGCTCACTAAAGGTAACATAATGACCTGAAGTTCCAAGTATGTTGTTGCAAATGACATGATTATATTCTTTTTAATGGCTGAATACTATGCCATTATGTATGTATACCGCATTTTCTTTATTTATTCATCAGTGTTGGATACTTAGGTTAATTTCATATCTTGGCTACTGTGAATATAGCTGCAGTAAACATGGGAGTGCAGACATCCCTTTACTATAGCAATTTATATATATATATATATATATATATATGGCAGTAGGGATTGCTGGAAAGTTCTATTTTTAGTTTTTTGTGGAACCTCCATACTATTTTCCATGGTAGCTGCACTAACTTAACATTCCTACCAACAGTACACTAGTATCCCCCTTTCTCTGCATCCTCACTAGACTCTCCTTTCCACAATGTTTATTCTTGGTGCCTTTGATATCTTTTTAGAAAGTTCACTATTAACTAAAGTTTGTATGTTGATTCTATACTATGAAACGTTATGGGATTGGTTTATGTGTTGTCAAGAGTTATATGTTAGACTGTTTAGTTTTTTCTGTATATAAGATCATGTCATATGCAAACAGGGACAAATTGACTTCCTTCTTTCCAATTCAGATGCCTTTTGTTTCTTTCTCTTGTCTAACTGCTTTAGGTTGACTTCCAGTACCATGTTGAATAATGGTGAAAGTGAGCATCCTCGTCTTTTTCCAGATCTTAAGCAAAGTCTTTCGTTTTTTTTCCTGTTCAGTACGGTATTAACTGTGGATTTGTTACATATGGACTTTATTGTTTTGAGGTCTGTTCCTTCTATACCCAGTTGAAAGTTTTTAATTATGAAGAGATGTTAAATTTTATTGAATGATTTTTCAACATCAGTTGAAATGATTACGATTTTTTTCTTCTTCATTCTGTTAACATAATGTATCATTCACAGTTTGCATATATTGATATACAAACTAATGGTCAATGATATTTTTATTGTGTTGTTGAATTCAGTTTGCTAGTATTTTGGTGAGAATTTTTGCATCTGTGTTCAATAGGGACATTGTCCTGTAGTTTTCTCTTTGTTATCTTCTTTTCTGGGTTTAGTGTCAGGGTAATTCTGGCCTTAAAAAATAAGTTTGAAAGTATTCCTTCCTACTTAATTATTTGGAACAGTACAGTAGAATTACTTTTCATTTTTATTCAATAGGTAGAATCTAGCAGTGAAGCTCTAAGGTCCTGGGCTTTTCTCTGGATTTTAAAATTATTTTTTATTAATTGTAAATATTATATTTATATTTATATAATAATAAAATATATTATTTTAATATATTTAAAATAATATATTTAAAATAAAATAATAAAAAATATAATTATTTTTTATTATTTTTTATTATAGTATTAAATTATATTAAATTATATTAAATTATAATTTTTAATTATAGGTTTTTTTATTATTACTTCAATCTCAGTTTTTATTGGTCTCTTCAGTTTTTCTGTTTCTTCGTGGTTCAATCCTGGTAAGTTGTACTTGTCCAGGAATTTGTCAGTTTCTTCAGGTTTTCCAATTTGTTGGCACGTAATTGTTCATAATATTAGCTAATAATTATTTGTATTTTTGTGATACCAGTTGTAATGTTTCCCTTTTCTTGTCTCTGATTTTATTCGGGCATTTTCTTTTGTTTTCTAATTAATGGTAACTATCTAAATGTATGTCAATTTTGTTTATCTTTTCAAATAATCAAGTTTTTGTTTGGTTGATCTTCCATGTTGTTCTTTTAGTCTCAATTTTATGTATTTCTTCTGTGATCTTTATTATTTCTTCCCTCCTATTAATTTTGTGTTTGATTTATTCTTGCTTTTCTACTTCTAAAAGGTGAATTGTTAGGTTATTGGAAGTCTTTCTACTTTTTTGATGTAGATGTTTATTGCTAAAACCTTCCAAGAACTGTTTTTGCTTGTTTTGATATACTGTGTTTCCATTTTCATTTGTCTCAAATAATTTTTAAAATTTCTTTCCTAAATTTATTTAATGGCCCATTTGTTGCTCAGAAGCAGGTTGTTTAATTTCAATAAATTTATACAGTTTCCAATATTCCTTCAGCAATTGGTTTATAGTTTTATTCAATTATTGTCAGAAAAGATAATTGATAAGATTTTGATTTTTAAACATTTTTTAAGACTTGTTTTGTTACCTCATAGATGGTCTAAATGTTCCATGTGCTGATAAGAAAATGTGTATTCTGCAGCTGTTGGGTGAAATGTTCTGCAAATGTCTGTTAGGTCATTTGGCCCATGATACAGTTTGACTTTTCTTTGTTGATTTGCTGTCTAGATGATTTACCCATTAATGAAAGTGGGGTATTGAAGTCCCTCCCTTAGTATTATTGTATTGCAGTCAAATTCTCTCTTTATGTCTATCAGCATTTGTTTTACATTTTTTGGGTGATTTGGGGTTGAGTGCAATATATTCATAATTGTTATAAGTTCTTGCTATACTGACCCCTTTATCATTATGTAATGGCTTTCCTTGTCTTTTTTTATTTTACTTTTATCTTTCTTTACTTAAAGTCTCTTTTGTCTGATATGGTTATAGCTACTCTTGCTCTTTTTTGGTTTCCTTGTATGGAGCTACTTTTTTTTTAACCCTTTCATTTTCAGGCTGAGTGTTTCCTTGCAGGTGAAGTGTGTTTCTTGCAGGTAGCATATAGTTGAGTTTGGTTCTTACAGATCTATTCAGTCCCTCTGTTTTCTAATGGGATAATTTAATCCATTTCCATTTAAGGTTATTATCTATAGGTAAAGGTTTACTGCTACCCTTTTGTTACTTTTTTAAAAAATTGTTTTGAAGATCCTTTCTTTCTTTTCTGTCTTCTTGTATGGTTAAGTGATTTTCTCTAATATTATGTTTGGTTTCTGTGCTATTTATTTTTAGTGTAATTATTATAGATTTTTGCTTTGTGGTTACCATAAGGCTTACAAAAGCATCCTATAGTTGTAACAAGTTATTTTAAACTTATAGTGACATAACTTTGATCTCAAAGAAAATAAAACTCTATAACACAATTCCCCTCTCCGTTTGGATGTAGCAATGTTTCAATTTACGGGTTGTTATATTGCCCATCTCTTAACCTATTGTTTTAGTTATTATTGTATTTAAAAGTTTTTCCTTTTAGTCTTCTCACTTAATATATAAGTAGAAAGACTGGTTGACTTATCGTGAATACAGTATCCATAGTATTTTAACTTTGTTTCTTTACTTTTTTCAGTGAATTTTATGCCTTCAGATGTTTTATTGTTACAAATTAGTGTACACTTCTTTCAGACGGAAGAACTCCCTTTAGCATTTCTTTTTTAAAAATTATTATTTATTTATTTTTAAAAATTTTACCTTTCATTTTATATACCAAAGGGTACTTGTACAGGTTTGTTATATGAGAATACTGCATCATGCTAATGTTTGGGATACAGATCTCATTACCCAGGTGGTGAGCATAGTACCCAATAGGTAGTTTTTCAACCCATGCCTTCCTCTCTCCTTCCCCCATCTAGAAGTCTACAGCATCTAGTGTTCCCATATTTATGTCCATGTGTACTAAATCTTTAGCTTCCACTTATAAATAAGAACATGTAGTATTTAGTTTGCTGTTCCCACATTAATTTGCTTAAGATTATAGCCTCAAGCTGCATCCATGTTGCTGCAAAGGACACAATTTTATTATTTTTTATGGCTTTGTAGTATTCCATAGTGAATATGTACCACATTTTCTCAGGCAGCTCTGGTGTTGATGAATTACCTCAGTTTTTGCTTATCTAGGAAAGTCTTTATTTCCCTTTCACGGTTGAAAGATAGCTTTGCCAGATACAGTTTTGTTGGTTGGCAGAGGGTGTTTGTTTATTTGTTTGTTTGTTTTGTAGTTTTGTTTTCTCCCTTCAGCACTTTGAATATAGCATTTCAGTCTCTCCTGGCCTACAGCATTTCTGCTGAGAAATTTGCTCAACACCATATTGAGTATCTGTTGAAAGTAAAATGTTTATTTTCTCTTGCTAGTTTGAGTATTTTTTTCTATGTATTTGAGTTTTGCTAAATTGATTATAACGTGCTTTGGGAAATCCTACTTTTTGTTGAATTTGATTAGTGACTTCTGAGATTCCTGAACCTGGATACTGTCATAATTCTCCTGATTTAAAAACTTTTCAGCAATTATTTTCTTAAATGTGTTTATAAGCCTATTTCTCTCTCATCTTCCCCAAAAATTCCAATTATGCGGAGATTAGTTTACTTGATGGTTTCCCATAATTCTTATAGACCTTCTTCACTCTTTTTAAATATTTATTTCTTTTTGCTTCTCTGATTGGGTAATTTTATATATTCCATCTTTAAGTTCACTAATTCTTTTCTCTTTTTGATCAAGTCTGTTGTGACAGCTCTCTAATGAGTTTTTTGGTTCAGTTATTTTAATTTTTATTCCTTGGACTTTTAATATTGTTTCTATTTTTTTCAAGTTTCTCATTTTGTTAATTGATTGTTTTTTAATTTTTATTTACTTTCCATATTTCTTTGTGATTTTCTAAACTTCTTTAGGGGTTCTCCAGATTTGGAATGGCTGAATTCCCAGCCATTATTTATATAAAGAGAGGAAGAGATTTTTCTGAATGCTCTGTCAGACATCTCACAGATCTTTATTTATTCTGGATCCATCGATGGAGCCTCCTTGATGCCTTTTGGTAATTTCATATCTACCTGAGTTTTCACCATTCTGATGTGCTTATGTTGATGCCTGCACATTTGAGGAGACACCCACCTCTTCCAGTTTTTGCAGATGTTCTTTGGTGATGTTAGGGGTTATGTCTTAGTATTAAATTTAAACACTTGAATGTTGTTTCAATTCCTGGGAAGGACTTATAGTGAATATCGGAACTAAAATACTGTACTGAAACTAAATTATTGCCTGTCATTTTTTTCTCAGTCTCAGGATGACTTATGTTAAGCTGAGCACTAGATCTTAAATACTGCCCCAAACTGTATTGCTGCCCTGACATTATTTCCCATTCTAGGGAAATTTTACGGGGACACTAAACCATGTAGTTGTTTATAGGCAAGGGTAAGGCTCTATGCAAGCACCTGGGCTTTGTGGAAACTCCAGCTAGGAATGTAAACCATCCCTAAAATTGTGCCTCCTGTGTTGCTATGGCTCCTACCAATCTCCTCAACAGGGTGTCATCACTGCCTACAGTACAGAGTAGCCATCGAGATCCATGCACCAGTCACTGCAATCAGCACGCTGCTTTTTCTTTTCAATTCACCTCAGATGGTTAGGCCTCCTGGCACTCCCATTAGTTTCCACAGGACAGGACTGGAGTAGATTTCCTGTAAAGATTTACAGAGCAATCTGAAGATTGTACTTCCACTTTTAATTCCCTCCTCTCACCTCAGAGACCACAGGTCTAGAGAAATTATTATTACATTTTTAATTTTTATTTTTCAGTTGGAGTCTCACTCTGTCACCCAGGCTGGAGTGCAGTCACATGATCTTGGCTCACTGCAACCTCTGCTTCCTGGGTTCAAGTGGTCCTCAGTCTTTTCAATAGCTTGAATTATAGGCACCAGCCACCATGCCCAGCCAATCTTTTTTTCCATTTTTAGTAGAGATGGGGTTTCAACATGTTGCCCAGGCTGGTCTGGAACACCTGACCTCATGTGATCCACCCACCTTGTCCTCCCAAAGTGAGGGGATTACAGGCATGAGCCATCACGCCTGACTGGTCTAGAGAAATTCTCTGTGAGAGGTGTTATGCCAGTTTTGGGGAGAGAGTAGCACACATTAAAATGACCATTTATTTTACTATTCATGGCTTCTGTCAGTTCTATGAACTTAAAAGCTTTCTTGGCTTCTCCCCTGAGTTCTGGTTTATTCAGAATGATATTTTTGTCTTTAAATAGTTTCTAATTGTATTTTTGTTGGGGAAGTGATGCCAGGACATTTTCTGTTTCACCATCTTGCTGATATCACTGATGAAACTGCATCAGAAATTTTATACACTATTACTTAAAGGGTAGGATGCTAAAGGCACTTTGAAAAAATATTAAAATTGGTTTTGTGGAGTAGAAGACATACAGACTCTATAGATCATAATTCCCATTTCAGATATACATCTTGAAGATATTCATTCATGTATAACTCTCTTCATATCTCTCATGCCTTCAATACTTATAAGTATAAAACAGTAATCCTTTTTTGGCACACTTTTAGACCCTGGACAATATTTTATAGTAAAATTTTGGATGCAAGCATATAATATTTTTATTTTGTAGAACGAAGAAGGCATGTCTTCAAAGCGGAGCTCTCAAGAAGTTTTAAAATAGACTATGTATGGAAGTTTAGAATAAGGAAGAAAAACATTTTGTTAAAATCCGGTGCCTATGAAACACTGAAAATTATTTCATTTATCCAAAATCACTAAAAATGAGTACTCAAAATTACTCATTTTCACTTTTAAAAATCAATATTCTAGGATAACCCTTTGTTTTTTTAAGCATCCCTTTTCTTCTCTACCAAGATAAAGTGAACTCCCTGATAATTAGGTTATAATCATTGATTTGTGTATTTAAATTGGGTAGAAACAACCTCTCATAGGTCTGTAAGCACTGAAGAAATCTTAGATTTTATCAAGCTAGGTTTACTCATTTAATTCCTAAAGAAAGTACCTTGTGAGGTAACATATATCTAACATATATCTAAAGGGATATATTTATGAACACATAAAACATTCTTTTCCTCTTTTTCATTATTTTATATTCAAACTTATATAGCTCACAATTTCTTCTCACATCCCAAAACAAATTCTGCCTCTCAAGCAAAACAGTTTGATCCTCAAACAGAAATGAAGTTATTCATCAAAACCTTGGCACTAAAAAGCTCCCAGAAATCCATAAATGGTAGTTTGTACTCTTACTTCATTCTTTTTACCATGTTCCCTTTTACTTTTTTCCCCTTACTCAAGAGAAATGGCTGAAGAAATAACTTCTTTGTACACTTTCTGATCCCAGAGTAGATAATATCCTGCTAATAATATATATGTATTTTATTACTGTTCAATTTATTTTTCAAATTTTCATAGTAATCACATGCAAAGTTTCCTCTATTTTAAATGAAATTTTAATTTTAATGATTTTTAAAAATGTAACTAATATAGAGATACATACTCTTTATCCTGTGAAACATGGATAGATTTGCCTAAAATTGCCTCTTTTGAAGAAGTTAATGACTTCCCTGGATTAACAAAAAATCATGTTCTTGAAATACACTCTGGCCTCAAGTCTCCACAATCACATACGTCATTTTTATTTTGTGGCATATCATTGCAGAGGAAAAAAACTCAATTTTTTCACTAGTATCAATCAATACATAGGTAGCTAGCTAGATAAACAGATAAATGATAGACAATTTTCAGGCCAGAGTAGCTCAGATTTAAATAAAAACTTACAGATATAATGAACGGTTTGTATTATAGCAACTAGAATATACTTCTCTCTATATATATATATGTGTGTGTGTGTGTGTGTGTGTGTGTGTGTGTATACATATTTTAGTTTGTCAGGTTTCATCGTTGCTCTAAATTCCCAAGCTCTAATTTCTATCTAACTAGGTCCTCACAGATTCTGCTACTCTTTCTTTTTCCTTCTATTTATGCTTCATGTTAAAAGCAAAATTTACTCCTCTTGCCCCATACAGCAACTCCCCCATTGCTGACAAACAGTTCTTGGTGGAGGAGTTATTAGAGCTCAAGTTCACAGTCTACCTTTACCATCACAAAGCAACCCTTTTCCTAAACAAATATTAAAAAGTCAAGAGAAATTCTGGTTCTTGTAGATAGAATATCCTCTTTGTTGTAATTATAAAAGTGATACTTGCATTATTTGAATTTTAACATTTATCTAAAGGGATATAGAATCAGAAGTGAATATTTTCCTCCTCAGCCACTTTCTTTCCACCACATTATGATTATCCAGTGCTTAACAATTTATTGTATTGTTGCATAAATTTTCAGTGCATATAAAAACATTTTGCAAGGTTTTTTCTTCAAGTATGTATCTTGGATATGCATTTGTATCTGCATCTAAAATTTTAGTGTTTAACAGTGGCAGAGTGTTAAATCATTTAATGAAACAATGACAAATGTTTACCATTATCCTATCTCCCTGTCCTACTCTCTCTATTTTACTGTCTCATTATTTGGCAAAATCATGTGAATACTTGAAGAATTTCCTTGTGTGTCTCTGTGTGTGTGTGTGTGTGTGTGTATGTGTGTGTGTGTGTGTGTGTCAGGGAGAAAAAGGTCTATCAAGAGCTTATGGCATAGGAGGATATCCCCAGAACAAAATGCTTTTTTCCAAACACAACAAGCATTATCCATTAATTTAATTGCTTACCACAGGAAGATAAATATTGCAATTCTGGATCACTTCTCTGAAAGTTTCAAGTTCCCTCAGAACATCCAATTCTCAACTTCTCAAGGACAGAATTCCAGCTTTTGGCTCCTAGACTATTTCTGCCAAATTCCCACTAATTCAAAATAAAATATTTGGATGGGAAGAGTAAGGAAGTAGCTGAGGGAATAAACAAGTCAAGTTCGACTCTGCACAAAATCTTGAATGCCCGATATAATTCAATACTTACAACATCCTGTGATACAGCTATTTTTAAATCAAATCTAGTGCAGGTGAGAAACTAGGCTTAGAGAGTTTAAGCAATTTTCCCGATGTCTCTGCATGTGCTATTTCTGTTACATTATATCATTTTCTTGTCAAAGAAAGAAAAACATCTCCGAAAAGATACACCTAAAAATGCCTGAAGTTGTTGCACTGTGTGGTCTTCCCTTGTATTAGTCCACTTTCATATGGCTACAAAGAAAAACCTGAGACTGGCTAATTTATAAAGAAAAGGAGGTTTAATGAACTCACAGTTCCACATGACTGGGGAGGTCTCACAACCACGGCTGAAGGCAAAGGAGGAGCAAAGGCATGTCTTACACGGCGGCACACAAGAGAATCTGTGTATGGGAACTGCTCTTTACAAAATCATCAGATCTTCTGGGACTTAATCCCTACCATGAGAACAGCACAGGAAAGACCTGCCCTTATGATTCAATTACTTCCTACTGGGTCCCTCCCATGACATACAGAGATTATGGGAGCTACAATTCAAGATGAGAGTTGGTTAGGGACACAGCCAAACCATATCATTCCACCCCTGACCTCTTCCAAATCTCAGGTCCTCACATTTCAAAACCAATCATGCTGTTCAAAAATTACCCAAAGTCTTAACTCATTTCTCCATTAACACAAAAGTCCATGGTACAAAACTTCATTTGAGATAAGTTCCTTCCACCTATGAGCCTGTAAAATCAAAAACAAGTTAGTTACTTCCTAGATACAAAAAGGGTACAGGCATTGGTAAATACAGACATTCAAAATGGGAGAAATTAGCCAAAACAAAGAGGCTACAGGTCCCATGCAAGTCCAAAATCCAGCAGGGCAGTCAAATCTTAAAGCTCCAAAATGATCTCCTTTGACTCCATATCTCACATCCAGGTTAGACTGATGCAAGAGGTGGGCTCCCATGGCGTTTGGCACCTCCTACTCTGTGGCTTTGAAGGGTACATCCCTCCTCACGATTGCTTTCACGGGCTGGTGTTGAGTGTGTATAGCTTTTCTAGGTGTACGGTGCAAACTGCTGGTGGGTCTACCGTTCTGAGGTCTGAAGAATGGTGGCCCACTTCTCACAGCTTCACTAGGTAGTGCCCCAGTGGGGACTCGGTCGGTGCTCCAACCCATTTTCTTTCTGCACTGTCCTAGCAGAGGTTCTCCGTGAGGGAAAATCTGCAGCACAACTCTGTCTGGATATCTAGGTGTTTCCATAACATCCTATGAAATCTAGTCAGAGGTTCCTAAACCTCAGTTCTTGACTTCTGTGCACCCATCAGCCCAAAACCACATGTAAGCTACCAAGGCTTGGGGCTTGCACCTCTAAGGCAATGGCCTCATCTGTACATTGGCTCCTTTTAGCCATGATTGGGACACAGGGCACCAAGTCCTGAAACTGCACAAAGCAGCAAGTCTTTGGGGCCTGGCCCATAAAAGCACTTTTTCCTCCTAGGCCTCCCAGCTTGTGATGGGAGGTGCTGCCATGAAATCCTCTGACATGCCCTGGAGACATTTTCCCCATTGTCTTGGTGATTAACATTTGATTCCTGGTTACTTATGCAAATTTTAGCAGCCAGCTTGAATTTCTCCACAGAAGATGTTTTGTTTTCTTTTCTACCGCATCATCAGGCTACAAATTTTCTGAACTTTTAAGCTCTGTTTCCCTTTTAAATGTAAGTTCCAATTCCAAAGCATATCTTTGTGAATGAATAAAACTTGATGCTTTTAAGTTATGTCTTGAACACTTTGCTGCTTAGAACTTTCTCCCACCAGTACTCTAAATCATCTCTGTCAAGTTCAAAGTTCCACAGATCTCTAGGGCATGGGCAAACAGCCACCAGTCTTTATGCTAAAACATAGCAAGAATCGCCTTTGCTCCAGTTCCTAGTAAGTTCCTTATATCTATCTGAGACCACCTCAGCCTGGACTTTTTGGTCAAAACAATTCAACCAGTCTCCAGGAAGCTCCAAATTTTCCCACAACTTCCTGTTTTCTTCTGAGCCCTCCAAACTGTTCCATCACCTACTTGTTACCCAGTTTCAAAGTTGCTTCCATATTTTTGGGTATCTTCATAGCAGTACCTCACTCTACCAATACCAGTTTACTGTATTAGTCCATTTCTATACTGCTATGAAGAAATACCCAAGACTGGGTAATTTATTAAAAATAAAGGGGTTTAATAGACTCATTATTCCGCATGGCTGGGGAGGCCTCACAATCATGGCAGAAGGTAGCAAACAAAGGCACTTCTTACATGGTGGCAGGCAAGAGAACCTGTGCAGGGGTACTTCCCTTTATAAAACCATGAGATATCATGAGTTTTATTCACTATCATGAGAATAGCATGGGAAAAACCTGCCCCCATGATTCAATTACCTCCCCCAGGCTCCCTCCCATGACATGTGGAGATTATGAGAGCTATGATTCAAGATGAAATTTGGGTGGGGACAGAGCCAAACCATATCATCCCTTATACTAATTGAATATCTACCTTATGGTTGATGAGATTGTTGGAATAAACTGCATAGATAACTTTAAATGGTGCTTATCATGAGGCGGCCAAGACATTAACCCTCATTGATGTACTCAACAATACTCCATCTGGTTTGTGACAAGACTTAAGGGGTGATGATGGAGTTTTGTTATCTGAAAATGTCATATAATGAAATCTTCTGTTTTTATAGACAGGAAAATGAGTATCAGAGATGTTGTGGGGTATCTGTCTAATAACAGACATATTTTATGGTGAAACTGAGATTCCTCTGTGGTCTTATATTTCCTCTGAGCAAAACCATGCTGGTGAACTAGAACATCTACAAATAATCATGTATCTCATGGGATAAATCCTATAGAAACAGTGAATTGCATCAAACAATAGTTTAAGGTAAAGCTAAATCTGGAAAGATCGCAAGAAGACTGAGAGATATAGCCATCTCATCTTTGGTGTTTAAATTTGAAGGATTAAACTGAAAGGACAATTAAATATGAAGTACTTGTTTCAACCAGTTTGTTCTCACCTGTCCAGATTTAGTTTTTCTGCTAATCAACTTTAGTTCTCAGAGATAAGACTAAAACAAAAGTAGCAACAAGTAGATGCTTGCTAGTATTCAGGCCATCAGTAGGTTCAAGAATAAATTTCTATATGTTGATGCAAAAAATAAAGTGAAACAGGAAACAAAACATATGTTTCATTATGAAAAATAACAAAGTGAACAATTATTATACTGTAAAAATAATATGTATTTTATGAAAGGGCTTTTCTATCAAACCTCAGTTATTAAAACTTATTTTTAATAATATTTTATTGTTATTCAGTTTTAACTTACGTTAAAGTGATTTGAAGTGATTAGCAAAGTCTGGTACTGAATGTTTTATTTTTCCTTTCTACGTCTATAAATGAATTTACAAATCTCTTTAAATTGTGGAAAATTTTGAAAATAATTGTTCATGTGCTGTGTAATGTGCTTTCTTTAGTGAAATCTTTACATAATGCCATGATCATGCAGTGTTTTTATGTTGCAGATCAAAAACAAAAGAGAAAGCATGGTAGCATTATTTTCCAAGGTGTTAGCACAGGCTTATTTTCCCATAATAATGGAGTCCAAGTAGCTGGCAGAAACATTATAAAATGTCAACTTTCAAATGTAGCTGCACAGTTTAAATTCAGTCATATTTCACATCTGTGTTATGCAGCTCTATCCTAACAGGGGTAGAATCCAGAACATAATCTGTGTTAGAATGGCCTTGAAAGTAAAATGAGAGAACTCTTCACCTGCCCACTGATGTTCTTTCTGCTGTACACAGAAGCAAAAAACACAGGTTCAAGTTGCTGAAAACAAACAATTAGAAATCAAATCAAAGCCTGTTTGGCTTCACAACTGAATGCTGAGATGCAATAGGAATCCTAACAATGCAAAGTAATAGCCTGCTGAATTCAATGAATACGGCTTAATACCTTTAGACCATAGCAAGACTTGGGTAAAATTAAAAAGTAATGTAAAGCTCTTTGGTATGCTCTACTAAATTAGTATTCTGAGGCATGTGTCTACACACCATACATAATGAGGACTGTTGGTTTCATTTACAGACACTGGCTACATTAGCTAGCACTAATGTGTAAAAACGTATTGTATGGTGGTCTATAGAGGCACTCCAAATTTTCATTATGTTTTAGTCAAAAAGTGCTTGTTTTGCAGGATGGAATCCATGTCAATAAAATGGATTGGGTGTCACTTAAACCAAGTGACATGCTAATCTTCTAGAGGCCTCTGTCCTTAATCTCTACAGGACATAAGTCAGTTTAGCAGCGTGAGCTGTTCTCACAGGTAGCAACTATTGAGCTCTTTAATGTAAATTCAAAAGCAAAGCTTATCAGTGTGTTTCAGAAATTGCTTCAATGTGGGTTGCTGTCTATGAAAAAAAAAATCCCCCTACTTCCTCCAAATCCGTGGGCAACTTCCAAGTTTTTATAGTGCCTGGGAGCACCATTTAATTATAAAGAAATTGGTTTTGGTGATAGCTGCTCTGTGACCAATTGGATTGGAGGCATTTCTTCTGGCTATTATTAAGGTAACTTTACTATTGCCCTCATATAGTCAGGCATGATCAAAATATTAAGCAAAGCAATGTCTCAATCCAGAATTTCAAGACCCAGTACCTAGATATTTTTAAAGTACAGCTATAACTAACCATTTAATAACAAAAGAAAAGAGTAATGGGATTGGGATTAATAATTCTTTAGTTTGTAGAGAGAGTTACAAAATGTGGAAAATGACACTAATTTAACTGCATTTGTTATATCATAGGAAAGCTAGAAAAGCTCAAAGAAAAATTGCAAGACATTTCCAGAATCTAAGAGCTAAATTAGTTGACAATAAAATCTTTAAAACACAAAATTAAATAGAAGTCTCCATTCTGTATATATTTTATTTTCTAAATACCAAGTAGTATATATTTTCTGCTCATTTGCTCCAAATAGAATAAAATGCAATCATTACTGGAAGTTATTACTTCAGTAGAGTACACTGGAGTATATTCTACTCCAATATAACACTTTCCACAAAAGAGTAAGAGTCTTACACCTATTATTATTTCTGGTATTACATGACACTCTGTTAATAAATACACACATGAAATCTTGAAGGCATGCATTGAACTAAAATTAGAATCACTCACATAAAAAGATGTAATCAACAGAATAAAATGATAAAATATTCCATTACTTCTGAGAGCAAAGCAATAGGCTAATATCTAATAAGTAATGAAGTTAATGAGAATGCTTGAATGCAGGGATATTTTCTTTAAATTGGAATTAGCAAATACCTTTTTTAAAATTTAAACTATTTTTAAGAGTGGGTGCAAAATATATTTTTCACTCAGGAAATAAAATACGCTGATTCAAACTTTATTTTTATTGGATAATTTCAGGTGTCACTGACTTGCATTGTTAATATAAGTATCATTTCTTTTAATTGCTTATCTATAAACACCGAAGGATATCGAGTAGTATCTGTAATGATTCCAGGATAAAGCAGTCCCATTTCTCTTTTTAATATGTTTTTAATATTAACTTGTTTTATTCCCACATTCTTAGAATAAATAATGTATGTGTTGTTGAATAACTCAGTGCATATTGTGAGCTCTAGTTAATGAAAAATTAGATTTACAATGATAAATTAGTTTGCTGGTAGAAGTAAAATACAGATTATTTTTACTTAGTTGCAAAATGATGACAAGCTAAAATTTTGGAACCATTGCCAAAGGATTAGTACTATCAAAGACACAATATAAATGCATCGTAACATTAGACACATTTAGGAGGAAACATTTTTAGAAATCATTTTGAAAATAATATTTTATACAGCTAGAAGGATGTTGATTTTGTTGCAAGTATAACGTTTAAGAAATATTTAAACATGTAAGTTAGTATGTCTTAATGAAATAAAAACATAAGTATGTGTAGAATTAACATTAGTCAGCTTTGAACACTATACACGTAAGACATTCCTTCACGTAATTAAAATGTTTGTGTGTCAATAAATATATAAGTAAACATGAATTCTAACATAAGTTATATAGTGTTGTTCTTGATTTTTATCCAGTGTTCTTAGGCAAGAACATTGAAATCTTTTTTATCTGTTTTTATATCAAAATACTTTATTAACTACATATAAAATACTCAGTTGGTTTTGGTTTTTTTGTTTGTTTGCTTAAGGAAGATGATTATGATAGAATTGTTTGTGTTTCTTAAAAGAAACTTGGAATTAACATTTGTCTCTAAAATATATGGAGTTCATGTGATTCCTTTGATGTCTCCAAACTGACGCTCAGCTGTTGGAAAATGTTCTTTGTTTTGTGTGACATTTGCTCACAGATGCTTTTGCATGATTCTGTCCACAACTGTTTATTCTTTTAAGTGTCTGCCAATCTGAGAGCATCAGTATATGTAATGCATGGATATATATTAATAGAAACAAATACTTAAATGATAAATAATTTAAAAATAGGGATAAAAGTGCTTTGAAATACACTGTAATAGTTGCTTTCTACATTCTGTGATTAGAGTTTAAAGGATATTTAAAATGTGTGAGCACAAAAAAAATATTTTAAAAAAAAGAAGAAAAAAGAAAAAAAGCAATAATTGAATACAAAACTATATTTCCAGAGGAGACACATTTTTTTTTTCTTTTGGAAACTACTTACGTAAATTTCTTTTCTTTCTGTAAACAAATGAAGAAACACCAAGTTAGGAAATAAAGAAAAAAATATAATACTGGGTAATTAATCAAAAAAAAGTCATAATGGAGCGCTACGAAATGATATATTTACATTTTAAGTTTATATATGTATATAAAATAGTGTAGACAAGAAGTATATGTATTTATTTTCCCTATAAGTATTACAGTCTTATTCTGGAAACTATTAGGGTAATTCAGAAAACTATCACTCCGCATTGCTACATCAAAAATATCATTGTTCTGGAATAGATCTTGGGGATAAGTAGAAAAGGTAGTGGAATTGAAATGATATCTCAAGCTTATTGAATTGCAATATATCAATATTGCTTTTCTTAGTTTGAAAATGTATCATGGTAATATAAGATGTCAACATCAGGGAAAATAGTAAAGACTATATGGAAAACTGTTGTAAATCTAAAAATATGCCAAAATCAAATTTTATTTAAACATATATCATATGTTGTTGTATTAGAGATGTAGCCTTTAGCCATTCATTTAGCAGAGATTGATTCAATGCTACTGGTGCTGGTCCCTCAACTTGGCACAAAGTCGGCAGTGAGATAATTAAAACCAAACTACGTAACATAGAAAATACAGAAACCAAGCTGGGTGCAGTGGCTCATGCTTGCATTTCCAGCACTTTGAGAGGTTCAGGCAGGAGGATTGCCTGAGGCCAGGAGTTTGAGACCAGCCTGGGGAACACAGTGAGACCCCATCTCTATTTTTTTTAAATTAACTTGGCACAGTGGTGCACACCTGTAGCCCCAGCTACTAGGGAGGTTGAGGTGGGAGGATTGCTTGAGGCCAGGAGTTTGGGCTGGGTAACAAACAAAAAAAGAATTAAGAAGGAAAAGAAAACATAGAAACCAAGGTTACTGCCCTCATGAAACTTACAGGCTCATATAGCGAAGATTTGCTAATCATATGAAAAAATACAGATATACAATGATAAATTCAAATTATTTTACCGTTAAATTTTAATGATAATTTTAATATGGGAAATGCTTGTTGTTGAGAGAGAAAATTAAAAAAGAAGTGCCACTGTAATTTTTAGGAGATTTTTAAAAATTGTGGTAAAATACAACATAAATTTAACAATTTTTAAGTGTACAATTCAGTAGCATAAGTATATTCACATTGTTGTGGAACCATCATCCCTATCATTCTCCAAAACATTTTAACATTGTAAACTGAAATTATCTACTCCTTAAACAATAACTCCCTATTTCTTCCTCCACACAGCTCCTGATCACCGCTATTCTACTTTCTCTATTTACCTTATATAAGTGGAAATGTGTAGTATTTGTTCTTTCGTGTCTGGCTTATTTAATTATCAATGTTTTCAAGACTCATCCATGTTGTAGCACATATCAGAAAATCATACCTTTTTGAGGCTGAATAATATTCTATTTTATGTGTATGCTATTCTTTGTCCATTCATATGTTGATGGGCATTTGGGTTGCTTCTACCTTCTGGTTATAATAAAGCTGCTATCAACATCAGTGTACAAATATCTGTTCATATTTCTGCTTCCAATTTTTTTGGGTACTCAGAAGTGGATTACTGGATCATATTCTATGTTTAATTTTTTTTTGAGAAATTGACATGCTATAATCCACCACTGCTATTTTTCAGCAAAACCTAATGTGTACAATGAGAAGGTCAATTGAAGAGTATGTTAGATAGTGATGAGGGGGTGAAGGGCATTGGAGGGAAGAGAAAATTTGAAACTGAGGTGACATCATGATGCAGAGGCCCTGAGGCCACATTGGCTAGTTCTGAAGATGCTGAAGGCTTAAAGGAGGACAGCATGTGGTTGGCCATGAAGACAGGAAAGGAATTGGGTTAAACACGATTTGCAGACCTGGTAAGGTGCCAGATAAGACAAGACCATGTAGGCCACTGCAGTGTGTTTTCATTTTATTCTCTGTACAAAGAAAACACTGTGACAAATTTTCAAGTAGGACTATCCTAGGGCTTAAATTTTATCATACGAAAAATAGGAGTAAGGCAAGAACATATGAAGTGAGACACCTTAAGAGGCTATTACCAAAGTTCTCCAGGTATGACTTTATTATTACCTTGCATGAAGAAGGTGGGGTTTGTGATATGGACTTAGGAAACTTGGTGATGAATCCAGTATAGGAAGTATAGGAGGTAAGAGAGATAGAGGTGGCAGGATTAACTTACAGCTTTTTGTTTGTAACAGCTCAATGGATGTTTGCATCATTTACCAATGAGGAAGAGATTGTGGGGGAACATGTTGGTTTGGGAAATTTCAGATTAGAAGTGCCTATTAGAGATATGAAAATCCTATGATTTAAAAAGTCTCTCCTTGAGTTTAGAGTTACCTAAAGAGGAAAAACTTTGGAAATTATTATTTTTTTCAGATTTGACTTAACCTGCAGAGATATAGTGATCCTATAGAGTAAGCGTTTTTTTTTTTTCTTTTTCTTTTTTTGTTCATTTTACTCTGGAAGCCAAAGATGACTGCATTATTAAAAGAAAACAAAGATAACAAAATGTACCTGAAACCTTCCTTCAAAAATCATTTTATTTCATAGAGACACTAAAATTTGTTACTCACAATTACCTGGTAAATTTACCCTATATAATTTGTCAAATGTTGTAATTCAGGCAAAATATGTACTACCTTCTCAATATATTAATACAAAATGACCTGACTATACAAAACCAATTCACTGTATATATCTGAAATCTCACAGTTGACTTTGTTTTATAGATTTCTTCTCAATTTTATTGTCTTCTGCCTTAGTAGAGTGTTCTCTGCATATTACATTTTAGTCATTACTACTGTTTGGTTGGACTTTGTGAAGTCTTTTTTTTTTCTTTTTCCTCATGAATAGAAGTGTCCTGGCAAAGAAAATCAATTTGTCACCCATTCTTAGGACTGTAAAACTGTTGCCACTTGGTCACTTACAATCTTAGTGTGCATTGAATTTTATTGGTTTTATGCCACCTCACAAGTAGCTCTTTGCCTTTGATATTTTACAATATTATTATGTAATCTGGTGAAACTACTTCATGTATTTCTTCTAGAATACATTTCAAAAAAAATCTGCACAGGAGCTCAGAAACATATTAAATAAGGCTAAAATATGCCATAGTTCTCCTGAGGTGATTCTTGTAGGAAAAAATAAAAAATAGTTTACATTTGGTAATATATGTGCCATGTTATCATTACTAGAAACATTAGAAAAAGCATAATTGACATTGTACTAATATGGTAGCAAGGAAAAATTATCACTTTGATTTTAGGGCTATGATTTTTTTTCATATTTTTATGGTTATATGACTCTATCATGTGTTTTGTTACGTGTCCTTCCAACTACCCACTAGCCAGGAGAAAAATAAAGCTACTTTAGGAAAAAATATAGAAGAAGAAGGAGAAGAAATGAAAGAGGAGGAAGAGGAAGAAGAGGATAACTTTAATGAAATTTGACAGTTATATGAAACTGTTTTCACTGGTTATAAATATAATAATATATAATTCATAATAATATAATATTTCAGAAAATTAGAAAATACAAAAAAAATAGAAGAAGGTACTGCCAATGGTAATTCTTTTCACAAGAAGTAAACATTGTTAACATATTCTCGTATATTCTCCAGTATTCGATGTATAATGAGATTCAGCTGATTTTTTTACTTGCCTTTTTTCATTGAAAGCCAATCACAATTTAAATAATAATATAAACTACTTCCAAATACTGTTTCACCTAGTGTTGAAAGGCATTATTATTCTCATACATGTCTGGTAAATTTGCATTGTAAAACTTGTCAGTCTGGATTATTGACATAAAATTTTTGACTCTCTGCATTTACCTTTAAAAGTGGCATGCTTATACAGATTATTTTAGACATTGAGAGGACAAAGATGACCCATATGAGACAGCAATAAAGGGGCTAGAGATGGCCATGATGACCCTGCCTAGACTGAGTTGGCTAGACAATAACAGTCCTCTGACAAATCTGTAAAAGTTAATTCACTGAGAATTAAGAGTGGTAGCAGCCATTTAAAGAACAAAAGAAAAGATATCTAAACATATATGCAAGATTGTAGAAAGACACAAAATATATTTCTTGAAAAGAGTCAAAGGTAGACAAGTTGACCCTTAGCTGAGGCTTCTTTTAAATATTCTAATATTAGTGATATGATATGCATTGTGATAGGAATGTACTTGTAGTTAGACAGGCTTGTGTCCAAATTTTGAATTTACTTCTTATATTTGTATGAATTGTGCATGTCATTTAACTTCTCTAACTTGGCTCAGTTTACTCATCATTAAGATGATATTAATTATAAGATTTCTTCATTGGATTCTTGTGATTATTGGATGAAATTTGTATAAACAGCTTAATACAGTGAGTAACATATAGTAAATGATTAATTAATGGTACAAGTAAATGACAGCTATAGAGATATTTCTTACATCACTGATTTTTTTCTACTCGAATTGCTATATTACCCAAATAAACAGATATCATATATTCTATTCATATTGCTATTCCATTAAAATGTACAACTTATTTAAATTATCCATGATACTTCAAATGTGTAAAGAATGTCCATTTTCATCTGCTCTATTTTGTGATTTTTAAAGAATACAGGCATATCATTTTATTGAACTTCACAAATGCTGCTTTCTTTTTTTTTTTTTTTTTGAGAGGGAGTCTTGCTCTGTAGCCCAGGCTGGAGTGCAGTGGTGCGATCTAGGCTCACTGCAAGCTCCCCCTCCCGGGTTCAAGGGATTCTCCTGCCTCAGCCTCCTGAGTAGCTGGGACTACAGGCGCATGCCACCATGCCGGGCTAATTTTTGCAGTTTTAGTAGAGACGGGGTTTCACCATATTGGTCAGTCTGGTCTCGAACTCCTGACCTCAGGTGATCCACCTGCCTCAGACTCCTAAGTAGCTGGGACTACAGGTGCCCGCCACCATGCTTGGCTAATTTTTTTGTATCTTTAGTAGAGACGGGGTTTCACCGTATTGGTCAGGCTGGTCTCAAACTCCTGACCTCAGGTGATCAGCCTGCCTCGGCCTCCCAAAGTGCTAGGATTACAGGCGTGAGCCGCCACACCTGGCCAAATGTTGCATTTTTAACTAATTGAACCTTTGTGGCAACCCTGTGTCGAGCAAATCTATGGGTACCTTTTTTTTTTTTTTTTTTGAGACAGAGTATCGCTCTTGTTGCCGAGGCTGGAGTGCAATGGCATGATCTTGGCTCACTGCAACCTCCACCTCCTGGGTTCAAGGGATTCTTCTGCCTCAGCCTCCTGAGTAGCTAGGATTACAGGCATGCGCCACCACGCCCGGCTAATTCTTGTATTTTTAGTAGAGACGAGGTTTCACCATATTGGCCAGGCTGGTCTTGAACTCTGGACCTTGTGATCCGCCCACCTCAGCCTCCTAAAGTGCTGGGATTACAGGCGTGAGCCACCGCACCCAGCCGGGTACCATTTTTTCAATAGCAGGTGTTCACTTCCCATCTCTGTGTCACATTTTGGTAATTCTTAAAATATTAAAGTGTTTTTTTTATTATTGTATCTGTTCTGGTCATCTGAAATCAGTGATCTTTGATATTTCTATTGTAATTGTTTTGGGGCTCCATGAACTGTGACCATATAAAGTGACAAACTTAATTGATAAATGTTCTTAATTGACATGTTCTCACTGCTCCACTAACCAGCCGTTCCTCAGTCTTTCCCCTCCTCTTGGGCTTCCCTGTTCTCTGAGACATAACAATATTGAAATATACTGAAATATTTAAATTAGGCCAATTAATAACCCTATAATGGCATTTAGGTCATCAAATGAAAGGAAGAGCCACTTTAAATCAAAAGCTAGAAATAATTAAGCTTAGTGAGTAAGGCATGTCCAGATAGAAATGGGCTAAAAGCTAGGGTTCTTGACTTAAACAGCTTAGTTGTGAATGCAAAGGAAAAATTATCATAGGAAATTAGAAGTGTTACTCAAGAGAAGACACAAATGATAAGAAAGTGACAACAGCCTTATTTCTGATATGAACTAAATTTGAATAGCCTGGATAGAAGATCAAACCAGTCACAAAATTCCTTTAAGCCAAATCCCGATTTAGAGCAAGGCCCTAACTCTTTTCAATTCTAGGGAAGCTTGGAGAGGTAATGAAGCTGAAGAAAAGTTAAAAGCTAGCAGAAGTTGGTTCATGAGGTTTAAGGAAATAACCTGTCTCCATAATGTAAAGTGCAAAGTAAAGCAGCATGTGCTGATGAAAAAGCTTGAGCAAGTAATGCAGAAAAATCTAGCTGAGATAAATGCTGAAGGTGACTATAGTAAACAACAGATTTTAAGTGAAGATAAAACAGCCTTTTATTGGAGGATAATGCAATCAAGGGCTTTCATAGCTAGAGAGGAGAAGTCAATGCTTAGCTTCAAAGGACAGGCTTAATCTCTTGCTTGGAGCTAATGCAGCAGGTGACTTCAGGTTAAAGTCAGTATTTGTTTGTTCTAGAAATGGAAAAACAAAGTCCAGATGACAGCACATCTGGTTACAGCATGGTTTACTAAATATTTTAAGTTCACTAGTGAGACCTACTGCTCAAAAAATAGATTCCTTTTAAAATATTACTGCTCACTGACAATACCCCCAGTCAGCCAAGAGTTCTAATGAAGATGTACAAATGTTGAATGTTGTTTTCACACCTGATAGCACACCCATTCTGCAGCCCATAGATCAAGGAGTAATTTCAACTTTCAAGTTTTATTATTTGAGAAATACCTTTTGCAAGGCAATAGCTACCACAGATAGTGATCCCTTTGATGGATTTGGACAAAGTAAATTGAAAACCTTCTGGAAGGGATTAGCTATTCTAGATACCATTAAGAACATTTGTTATCCATGGAAGGTCATCAAATATCAACAAAGTTTGGAAGAAGCTGATTCCAACCTTCATGGATGACTTTGAGGGATTCCATATTTTAGTCCAAGAAGTAACTACAGATGTAGTGGAAATAGCAAGAGAATTAGAACTTGAAGTGGAGCCTGAAGATGTAACTGAATTGCTACAATCTCATGATGAAATTTAAATGGATGAGGAGTTGCTTCTTAGAGAAGAGCAAAGAAAGAGGTTTCATGAGATGGAATCTACTTCTGGTGAAGATGCTGTCCACATTGCTGAAATGACAACAAAGAATTTAGAGTCTTGCATAAACTTAGATGCAATAGAAGTGACAGGGTTTGAAGGATTAACTCCAATTTTGAAATAAGTTCTATTGTGTATGGAATGCTATCAAAGAGCCTTGCATGCTTGATATGGAAAACCTTACTGCTGTCTTTTTTAAAAAAATTGCCACAGCCAACCCCGGCCTACTACAATCATCACCCAGAGCAGTCAGCAGTCATCAACATTGAGGCAAGACCCTCCACTAGCAAGAAGATTATAACTTGCTGAAGGCTCAGATTATTGTTAGCATTTTTTAGTAATACATTATTTTTAAATTATGTATTTTTATACATAATGCTATTGTACACTTAATAGAGAACATTATAGTGTAAACATAACTCTTAAATGCACTTGGAAACCAAGAAATTTGTGTGACTTGCTTTATTGTGATATTCACTTTATTGCGGTGGTTGGGAACTGAACCTGCGATATCTTTGAGGTATGCCTATATGTTGCAGAAGATACTCCCTATAATCCAGTGACTGCTCTTTATATCCAAGGGCATGGCCCTTTCATGACAGACTTTGTAAAGGCAACACTTTTTCCTCAACTGCCCTTGGGAGAAAACATACTCACTAATAGGAAGGCAATTATAGTTTAGAAAAGACACTGACAGATCAGATGAAATTTCTGGCTTCAGACCTTGTTCTGCCACTCAATAATTATACATTCCCTGCCAAATTATTTATTCTGTCTGGAACATAATATCTTGTTTGGAAGTGAATGAGTTAATTTGCATCATTCCATTTATTTCCAATATTGTCTTCTCTGTTTCCTGTGCATTGCCTTTCTCTTTGCAAATATAGAGTTCACGTAGCAAATCCTCTTCAACATTAAAAGTCTAACGTTGGTTATAAACTGAGTACAGAGATGACAAAACTAAATACATGGTACAAAATGACACTTTCCTTTATTGAGATGTATGAGAAGCACAAGGGCACCATTGTCAAACTATCAAAGATAGATGAATGGGGAAGTTTTATTGCCAGAGGAAAGAGATTTGATTTTCAGTTGCCAAAGTACTGTGAGAGCTGACAGAGGAGCCTGTACAAAAAGCAGATGAATAACTTCTTTCCATTCAATGAACAGATTTCATTTGGACCTTGATGACACATGCTTGCTTCTCACATATGTTTTTATGCTATTTCCATGACTTAATTCATTTCTGACTAAGAGTGCTCCATACACCTATAACGGCCCTCTCCAACTCTGTTCCAAGTAGATCTGAACTTGGTAGAATGGGAATGAGGGGTGGGTAAAAAATGAAACTTATTGAATGTTGAGTACTTGTCAAGGAATTTGCTAAGGAATCAACACTCTGATTTAATCATAGACACTGTCTGAAGTAGTCATCCTCATCAGCTCCATTTTACAGATGTAAAAACTGAGTGTCAAAGAAATGAAGTTACTTACCCAATATAATAGAGTTAGTAGGTGTCTGTGCCTGGATGTGAGCATCTACTCAAAAAATTTTAAACCTCACACACTTAAAAACAAAACACAACTCAGAACTGGTGACTTTGATACATTAGAAGTATGCTGAAATATTTTTCTCTTCAGTCAGTCCCTAGAGCTGTCGCCTATGCCCCAGGCCTGTTTGCTCCAGCCACCAAAGGCCTTCTCCATTTCCCCCTGCACATGGTGCTGGCATCATTTTCCATGTATGCATGATGTGATAAAGTTGAGAGGCCCAGCTCCACCATATCACTTGAACAAACATTGGGAATAGAAATAATACATATGCTAAGTGACACACTTATGACTTTTATCAGTTTTTTAAAAACAAGAAATTAGCATGGGTAAGAGTCATGAGTCCTAAGAAGGAACGTATATATCTGTACCTTCCAACACTGTTAAAATATGCCAAATTCATACCTGTGGAAAGAAGTTTAAGATAGCACCTGGGTGGCTGTCTTTTCAGAAGTGCCAAAGAATGGAAGAGTAAGAAGATCAATGCGATAATTGGTTATACTAAAATTATACAGTAGCAGCTCTGACAATATTGTCTGTTAAATTATTTATTTAACATTAGTACACTGTTTATGTCAATAACATTGAAATCCAAAGAATACCTGTCATTTCTCACATATAATTTCAATGTTTTAAAATGCCTTTACAAAGAAATACATTTAAATCTAGAAATTTTCGTAAGTGTATTAATATAGTCCAAGTTTTGAATTTATTGAGATACCTGGTTTCTAATTTATATCTTCATTCTTTTTTGGCAGTTTTCAAAACTATATATAATACACTATGACAGAAAAAAAAAGTACAGGAAAGATATAGCCCAAATAGTATCTTGAGTCACTAGGAGAAATTAGTTCTGAAAATTTGGGGGCATCCTAAAATTTTCTAATGGTTCGGTTCTGACTTCTTACTTTGGCATATACGTTAGTTCTTCTCTCAAATTTGCCTTCTCTTTATTTAACTTGGTATGTTCCAGTTTTTTCATTTAGAACACAGAAACAAATTTTCCCTTGCTTATCTGACAAAACTTTTGTGATGTTCACACAAAGCGACAGATCACAAAGTTACGAATCTGAAAATAATTATAAACACCTATAAAACTATAATAATACACATTTGTATGCTCTAAGGTGTTACATAGGTATTACGGTAGTTGCATATATAACAATTGTGTAATTTTTATTATAACTAAATCCAAAACTTCATTAAATTTAAGTTCTAAAAAATAAACAAAACCTCATTATTCTACTAAAACAAATTCCAAAGAAAATCTAACTACATGGAAGACACCATTAATTTTTAAAATGTAATTTTCCCTTTAAAAAATTTAATTTTTTGCTAGAACTTGTATAATAATATATGGTGATAATTGCTTATAATATACATTTAACCTCGATTTAATTTTGAAGGATAAACAATAAGAATATGCTGACCTGGATTTTGGGCTTCACGTGTAGTTTTCCAAGTAGTTTAATCCATAAACACTGCTTGAACCTTTGTCCATATTTAATACCTCAACAATGTTTAAGTACAATTGACCTTTGAGTAACACAGGGGTTAGGGGTGGGAGTCCTAGTTCACTCTCCTACAGTCAAAATTCTGCGTAAAATTGTAGACTTCTCAAAAATGTAACTGCTAACTGCCTATTGTAAACCAGAAGCTTTACCAGTAACATAACCAGTCAATTAACATATACTTTTAATGTTATATGTATTACATACTGTATTCTTATAACAAAATAAGTTAGAGAAAATAAAATATTATTAAGAAAATCATAAAGAAGAGAAAATATTTGCTATTCATTAAGTAAAAGTAGAACATCATAAAGGTCTTCATCCTCATTGTCTTCACACTGAATGGGCTGGGAAGGCAGAGGGGGAAGAGGATTGTTTGGCTTTGTTGTCTCAGGGGTGGGAGAGGTGAAAAAGAGGAGTCAGGAGAGGCAAGCACAGCCACTGTCACTTTATGGAAATGCATTGTAATTTCAGTCTGATTTTTTTCTTTTTTCATTTATTTACAAACGTTTCTATATAGTACCAATCCTTCTTCTACCATTTGCTTTAATTTTAGTATCCATCTAATAGAAGGGTCCATGCCATAAAATAAGTAAAAATAAATCCTGAAAAATCAAACCCTCTGTCAGATTCTCTAATGCCAGTATGTTTTATGACACTGCTTCCACATCTTCTTCCTCATCTTCTGACACTGGTTTGGAAGCACTCACTTTCATCAAGTTGTTTTCTTCTAATTCCTCTGGTGTGATGTCTATTAGCTTTTGCATTTTTCTAAGGAGTCTATCTTGAAACACTTCAACTTCTACTTTTTTGCCATAGCTATAATCTCTTTCATAATTTCCTTAATTCGTTCTGTTGTAAATCATGTGAAGTCATGCAAAACATCTGGACAGTTTTATCCAGCAGAAATTTATTGTTTCAGGCTTGAAGACTTTTACGGCTTTTTCTATAACAATGATGGAATCTTCAATGGTGTAATCCTTCCAGACTTTCACAGTGTTCTCCCTATTGGGGTTCTCTTCCACAGCCTTGATAAGCCTTGTCATAGAGTAATATATGTAATGAGCTTTAAAGGTTCTTATGACTTCTTGGACTAGAGGTCGAATCATAGACTCTGTGTTTGGGAGTAAGTAGACCACTGTGATGCCCTTACTGTTGAACTCATGGGGTTCTGGGTAGCCAGGGGCAATATCCACTGTTAAAAGAACTTTAAAATGCAGTCCCTTACTGGTAAGGTATTTTCTGACTTCAGGGACAAATAATTAATCGAACCAATCCAGTAAAAGCGTTTTCATCGTCCAAGACCTCTTGTCAGATAGACAAAAGATCAGCAGCTGGTGTTTATCTTTTCCTCTTAATTCTTGGAAATTAGTAGCTTTATAGATAACGGCTGAGTTGATCAAAACCTCAACAACATTTGCATAAAACAGTAGAGTTAGCCTATCCCTTTCTGCCTTAAATCCTGGTGATCGCTTCTCTTCCTTACTAATAAACACCTTTGTAGCATTTTTTTTTTCCAGGATAATCTACTTTAATCTGCATTAAAAATCTGTTGAGGCAAATATCTTTTCCCCTCAAGGATTCCTTTAGTAGTGTCTGGGAACTTTTCTGCTGCCTCTTGGTCAGCAGAAGCTGCTTCTCTTGTTATCTGGACACTGTTTAGAGTTAAATCTCTTTCTAAAATTATCAAGCCATCCTTTGCTGGCATTAAATTTTCCAGCTTTAGATCCTTCACTTTCCTTTTACTTTGTCATATAATGACTTCACTTTTTCTCAAATTTTGTGAGTCTACAGGTATGCCTTTCTTATAGCAATGTGCATCCACATAAAAGCTGCATTTTTAATACAAGATAAAAAGGCACATGTTTCACAAGAAGTGCAAAGTTTTGTGCCTGCTGGAGTAATTGCAGCAATGGCTTTACAAATTCTCTATTCTTTTTTACAATGGTCCTAATGCTGAATTTGTTTATCTTGAAATGGTGGGCAACTGCTGGAACTGCAGACATTATTCTATGGTACATATGAAGCAATTTACCTTTTTCTTACAAAGTCATGACTTTGCTTCTTGGAGGCACTTCTAGCATCACTAGTGGCACTGCATATGGATCTCATGGTGTTATTTAAGGTTTACTGTATTGCACTAAACACCACGGAAAATACATGAGAACTATGAGAGATCACTTTTTACTGCAGTATGCAATTTACTGGCGAGACAAGCTGCTCACAGGGAGATGATTAGCATCACATGGTGTTTTAAGTGGATACAACAAGAGCTCACCGCAATAACAGGAGGTGGCCACAAAATTATTACATTAGTATAATATTATTATAGTTAATTTTATACAGTTATAATTTAATACAGTATTTTTACTTTTTTTTACATTTCTCTCAACAGCCAATGGCACCATTACTATCTGTAAGCGTGTACACAAGTTTTGATTTTTACTTTTTGTAATAGATTTGTGTATATTTTATGGTAGTAAATGATAAAATATGCTAACATGCTAATATTTACGAATATTTTATGTATTCATGACATATCTTACCTTTTCTTAATTTTTAAAATTTTCTAGGCTATGGGGATTCATCTGTGAATTTTTTCAAGTTATTGCAAATCTTCAAAAAGTTGATATATTCATTGAAAAAAAATCTTTGTGGAAGTGGACCCACACAGTTCAAACCTGGGTAGTTTGAGTGAAGTATTTTAGTCAAGTATTTTAGAAAGTTTACCTATCTTATTCCTTCAAATAGAATAATAACACTCATGACTTCCTCAATGGTAAATAAAAAAACTAATGGTAGAGTTTTTTTTTAGTGTACACTTTTGTAAATTATCTAATTGTTAACAATGAACAAGTTTTGCTGTCTGAATTAGAAAGGAAAAAAAAGTAAAAAGTCAAGATAAAGTAAAACTCTGTAATGTGTTTTAAGTAAAATGATTTGGTCATTACTATAATTCTTAAAGGTCAGAATAAGAGTAAAACACTCTAAATGAGTCATTCTTTAAAAATCATATTAAAATGTTTGGATTTAAACTGATAGCATCTCTAAGTTGAAAACTTTGATTTAGGGCTTCATAAATTAGAAGTCATTGTGGGTTTAGTCTTTTGAGATACAACAGCAGTAGTTCCATGGAGTAGGATAGACAATTTATAATATATAGAGACACAGATAGCACTTTTGGACTTCCTAATAAGGATGCCATTTTACTCAAGCTATCTACTTGTAAATTTTAAACGAAAGACCAAACTAGCTAATAGAAACTGTCTCATATGAATAATGTTTAAATTTTATAAGGATGATTTCATTACATAGACTTGTGCTCTCCAACAGGCATTTAATTTCCTTTAGATTTGTGGTGATAAAGCATTGTGTACTTCATTTTAACAACTGTCCACTTTCCTAACATAGAGTAATATGATTTAAAATAAAACAAGTGTACATATGTAATAATTTTATTAATTTTTGATGTTGCATATTAATATAAATATGAAAATTCCTTGAAATACTAAAAAATAAATAAGCTACTGATTATACTGTCAACATACATTTGATATAAAAAATTGATATGCTAGTCATTTTGTATTTATAATCTTTCCATGGATAACCATTTTTCCTATTTTTTATACATGAACATAGAAAGAGATGCGTATATACATAGCTAGTGCAATGGTACTGGAACCGATAATATTGATAATAACAAACATTAATAACAATAACAATCATGTGTTGAGTGTAAATATGTTCTAGTCACATTACAGGGTTTTTTTTTAGCCCTAATAGTAGCCCTGCAAAATACAAATGTATTTACCCATGAGGATGCTCTTGTTCAAAAAAGTCAAATAACTTACACTCTTTTTCTTATCTCACGGCCTCTGATTCTTCTCTGTTTCATTATTATATTGGTGCATTTTCTACTGCATCAAGTTTGTAATCTATTCTCCACAATAAATAGATTACACTTTATTTTAACTATACTACTTACTAAAAGGTATTCTATGTATATATTATGTGCCTTAAATTGGTGTGTTGTTTTCATACTTAAATTTTATGAAGACACCACATTATTTATACCTGTGCATTTAGAACGATAAGAACAAAATTTAAACAAAATTCACAGAGTTTGTATTTCACATGTCATTAAAAAAAAAACAGCCAAGGTACAATATAATCTGAGTTTGCATAACAAAAATGTATCTTACAACAATGTTGAGGTTAAAGTCAAGTGATAAGAGCCTCTCACTGAACTTTATTCTTGCCCATGGTCTCTGGAAATAGACTAGACACATTTACAGATTTTTAATGCCTATTTCATATACCTCCTTATGTCAGACATTATAAATTTAGGATTAGTGGTCAAATTCTTTTCCTTACTCTGAAAAGTCTGTTATTCTTGAGGAAGCTTGCTCACGATATTCACTTGACATTCAATTGTTTACTAGCGCCTCAATGTGCCCAAAACGAGATTCATTTTCCAGGATCCCAGATAAGATTCTTCTCTTACTCATTCTCTTTGATTAGCATCCAGTTGCTCAGAAAACAAATCAGGCCATCGTCTTAAGTATTTTTTTTTATTCACAGCCCAAAAGCCAATATTTATTTCTGCTTTCAATTCAAGTCCACTTCTGTCTCTCATCATCACCAGCTTCAATGTTTGCTATACCTTCTAGGTTATTTATATCTACTATGACTTTCTAGCAATTTTACTCATTATGCTGTCATATGAATACTTTTTTCAAAGTAGTAATCTGATGATATCATTTCTGTGTTTCAAATCCTTCAAAGAGTGATTTAAAAAAACCCACACCCCTTAGCTTTGCACAAAAACCATGGGATTTCTTGGTTTTCCTGGACTCTATGTTTCTTTCCTGCCCCTGCTCCCATCACTTCCTCTTAAAGTTTGCTTTCCAACAGTGGTGAGCCACTTTGAGTTTCCTGAAAAGTAACACCCAATTTCTTATCACCAGTCATCTGTCTTTAGGAACTTTTTTTTTCTTATCCGTCTTTATCCTGCAAAATGCTGCACCTCCATCATATCACTCATAATCTCTTTGACCTGTATCTCTATGACTTCAGTGCAATTAATAATTAACTCTATGTACTACTTCTTCTTGACATATTTTTATTATTAAGCGTGTTACAAAGCATTCTAATTGATAGCATATACTTTTTTTTTTTTTGCTATTGGACCAAAGCAACATGAAAACAGGCAGTACGTTTTCTTTATTTCCATAGCATCTAGCACAGTACATGAAATAAAAATGATGCTCAAATCAACCCTTCTGTAAGGAAAAAAAAAGGCTTTGGAGAGTAGAGACTTGAAACAGAAAAGTTAAGAAAGAAATAATAACGTAGTAAAGATCCAGTGAATTTTATTTTTAGTCTTAACTGTAATTTCTGAGTCCAGCGGGCAATAAAACCTTAGCAAAAAATCTTTAATGACGAGAAATATTTTTCCTACGTAAAAAGAAGTGAGAATTTGAGTTTTTCGCTATATACTGTTTTGCTTCAACTTCAGAGTTAGGGTTTAAGTGCAGATAAAACAGAGTCAAATGAGAGATCAAAGAACAGTGGAGTTTTTTTGGTTATTATAAACATTAAGCATTTACCCATTAAAATTTGGGTATATTATGGACTTCTTTTCAGCTGATAAGTTAATAAATTATGTATTTGTACTTTATAGTGGCATCACACATTCTCAACACAGACGTTGATAGTAGTATTTAAAAATAAGAGTATCTAAACACACTATAATAAATAGCCTTACTTTTTAATGGAAGTTGAATTATCATTGAATATGGATAAACACTAAAACAGTAAAATGACAAAATATTTTTTAGGTTTTTAAATATTATTTTAATCTCACTTTAGAAACACAAGAAAGAAATCATAATCAATTAATGCTATCTCAAAATATATAAAATATTCCCATAAAATGTTTTATATTAAGAATAGAACAATCTTGTCTCAAAAGTGTTCTTTGTTGAAAGAAGAAACAAAAGGCCTCTGAAATTTATTTATTTAGCTTAATTCATGACATCTATTCTGAATCAGTTCAGCAAATTAAAATCATCAGGAAGGTATCAGATGTACAAGCCATAAAAAGTTAAGAATTGAACATAGATAAAACGCTCTTTGAGGAAGATCACAGATCTTTCAGACTGACTATTAAGTCTTGTTAAATAAAATAGTAGCCAAAAAGTAAAATTTTTTAAAAATGAAAATAAATCAATGGCATTTAGCTATTATTATTGTGACTTTGAATGCCCAATTTGAAATTTCTGTACTATTATTAACAAGAATATGTCAGTACTTTTTATTATGAATGCCTATAATGTTAAAATACATTTCCATTTTAAAAATTTTACCCATTCATCTCATTATATATATATATATTTCTCATTATCTATCTATCTGTCATCTATCTATCTATCTATCTATCTATCTATTTCTTTTGTAAATCAGATACACAGGCTATAGACTTATTTGAAAGGAAATTTACAAGTGAATTTCTTTCTCTATTATGTGAGATGGAATAATTGTAATTTCTGATATACTAAATTTAATTATTTAAGATAAGTAAATATTTATATAACATTTTAATTTTTGCACCCTACTTTAAAATTTCAGTCTTGAAAAACAGTTCCTAAGCTCAAGCAATATTTCCTGAGTTGACTGATTTTATACTATAAACATTTCTTAAAAATCAATATCAGTTACATCTTAGTAACAAGTCACAGATCACCAGATGTAACAAGTCACCAGCTCCATGAGATCAGATTATTGAATATTGAAATTCACTATAAGCATTATTTTACCACAAAATATAGAAGAAAAGGAACTCAGAAAAAATGAAACTGTCAATTCAAGGAAGAATTGTGTATACAGACTTGATCGCATTAAGTCTGAAGTATATTTTTAACAAAGAAACAAAGAGATAAAATGTTGAGCACTTTGCTATGTCAAGTCAGCAATGCAAAATGAAGCATTCACTCTATTCATTCTTCTGATAGAAGATGTTTTCAGATATCATAGAAATAGACTTGCGAGAACTTTTTTAAACTAAATTAGGAGGATTATTGCACAATATTTCAGGAGATTCTGAAATATCAAAACCCATAAAAGAATTCAAAGAAAATATAAAAAGCATAAATGAGAAGACAGTGGTATGTAGATTTACATCCACTTTAACTCTCTGATCTTAGGGTTGCCTAACTTCTTGGGATTCAATTTTTTTTTTTAATTTATCAAACAGAAATGCTATTTGTTGTATAAGTTATTCCAAAACCATAGTATGTATACACCTGTACAGATTTCTGGGATAATTTAACTATAAACACTGTATTAACTTTATTTGGCAATGAAGTTCAACCCTCTTTTACTATTTACCTGGAAGGAAAGAAAATGTTCTATGTAAAATTTGTAGCATAATACCATCTATGTACAAATGACATCCTATGACAATGTAAACAACAATGATAAATGCATCTCATGTGTTAAAATATCAAAGATAGTATAACATAATTAATTATGTTATTAAATGTCCCACAAGGTAATAATTAAACAAACAATATAGAATTGAGGGCAATTGATAAAGTGATGAATCTAATATATGGGTAGCATTTAGAAAAACCACCAATGGTGATGTTTTAGTACTCATGGGCTAATAAGGAGAGTGAGGACAGCTGTAACTAACCCTAAGTTTGAAGGGGAAGTGATTACTAGAAATGAAAAATGGGAGCTATATGGAAAGGGATGTTCAAGATGCACTGTGAACCTAGATCCAGTCAACTAATAGTGACCTGACAGAAATTGAACAGAGGAAATATGTATCTTGACCTCACTGTTCATCTATTCTTTTACATTCTTCTGATGACTCTGTTGGCCAAATCCTTTTGCAAGACTGAAGTGATACAGTCTATACAAGACAACCTCTTTAGACCTAAAGCAATGGAGAAGGGTAGAAAGTGGATCCAGAGGACTAATAATTTCAGGAATATATTATATATTCATCAAATATTTTTCCAAATATTTAAAACTTTAGCAGTATACACCAGTGGAAAGAATGAAGATTGCAATCAACACACCTGTATTTGCATTTAAATTCCATTGTTTTCTAGCTGATTTACATTAGGCAAGTTAATTATGTTTTCTATATTATAGTATCCTCTATGAACTAGGAACAATAGCACTTGTTAATATGTGAGGTCACCGTATTGTGCTCATAATAGGCTATATACAAAAAGCATCTACACAGAATTTGGCACGTAGTAAGCATTGGAAAATAAAATTATTTTGTCTTTCTTTTTCCCTACAAATCAGATTTTACTTAGATTACTCGACTTCACGGCACATCACTTTAAAAAAAATTTGGATAACAGCTAAGTTCTGAGAACATTATACTCAATCAATTTCAAATTCTTTGAAGGCAAGAGAGAGTCTGATGCACTTGAAAATTCTGCTATAGTAAATATTCTTAGGGAAATCAGAATTAATTTAACACTATAGGACATTTTTTAGTCATATGCTATAATTTTAGTCTGGATTTTATGATACTTCATCTTATGGAAATAATTCTCAACAGAGGAACAAAGCAGACTAATATATTGTGACTATGGCTGTTTGATGTCATCTTGAATATGTATTTACAAACTCCATAGAAGGCAGGAATTGATGTTAGGTTTGCAAGAAGTGGTGAATCATCTCTTTGACAATGATTGCATTACAAATTCAAAAAGTTATCAAAAATTAGCATGAATATGCAAGAACTGGTGTCTTCACCCATTTTTGTGTTGCTTAAAAAGGAATACAATACCTGAGGGTGTGCAATATGTAAAGAAAAAACTTTATTTGTCTCACAGATCTGCAGGTTTTATGAGAAGCATGGCACCAATTGCTTCTGGTGGGAGGCTCAGACTACTTCCACTCATAGAAGAAAGCAAACGGGAGCAAGAGTGTGCAGAGATCACATGGCAAGAAAGTGAGAGAGAGAGGAGAGGGAGGTGCCAGGCTTTTTTTAACAGCTAAGTTTTTTGAGAACTAATAGAGTGAGAACTCACTCATTACTGAAGGACAGCACCAAGCTATTCATGAGGGATCTGCCCCCATGAACAAAACATCTCCAATTAGGTTCCACCTCCTAAATGATCAAATTTCACCTTGAAATTTGGAAGGGTCAAATATCCAAACCATTGTAATCAGTAAAAGCAATATTGACAACTGATAAAACTTTGTCCTAAAACTAAGTGTGCAGTATATAGTGCTTGTAAGTGTCCCAAATGAAAAAATGCATATTTAAAACTATAAACCCTAAGTAAGTCAGGAAATAAACAAGAATCACAGTTTTGCCATAATATTTTAACTTAAAAGAATGTCATTGATTACTTAAGTATTCAATTGTGTGAAGAAAAAAATCTAACTTTCAATTTCAACTGAAATCAACAGCCATAATGCATTAAATTTAGAAAACCATTAATCAAAAACCAATATACAATACAAAGAATTATCTTAATAGTAATTTAAATGAAGTATACAACATTTGAGCACATATTAAGTGCTCACTCTGTGCCAGGTATTCTGTTAAGTGCTCCAAACAAATTACCTTATGTGATCCTGATCTATACACTACTCAATATCCCCATTTTATGAATGAGGAAAGTGACTCTTAATGGAGGTTAAATAATTTGCCTAAAACATCAAGATAGTAAGTTTTGGGGTCAGAATTTGTATTCAATCAGCATGACTCTGAGACTCTACCCTCATTTACTGTACCACACTGAATTTTTCATGCATTTTCAAAGTTTTACATCATGACCCTGAAATAACTAATGAAATTCTAAAAAGTGTAGGTGCCAAAGATGTAGTAAAACAATATATATAGTACAAACAGAAGATGACAGGATATAGGTCACAGAGGAAAAAAAATATTGATGGCACATAAGTTCAACTGAGATGTTCCTGAGTGAACTACCGATGTGATAAGCCAACAACAACAAAATGCAAAAAGGAGATATATAATCAAGGTAAAAAATAATGATCTTATGATTTTCTGGGTGGGAAAAGACAGATAAATAACATAATTTTTCTACCATGTCCAAGAAGTTTAGAAGTTTCTGATCACAGAGGGCAAAGTACTTCTCTAATTGATGTTGCTATTCTTTCTTTTTTGAAAGATTGTAAAACAAGTTTTTTAAGAATGAAGTTTGAAGCTGTGTAGTTCAAGGCTATTTTTGCTTTTGTTATATACAGGTGTATTATGTAAACTACGGTGCAGATTATATTACTCACCCCAAATTGAGGGAAAGAAAAAAATCAGTGGTTAATGTGAGATAATTTACTACAAGTTAAAATAAACACATTACAGGTTCTGGAGGTAATATCCCCTGTAACAGGTGTGAGGCAAATATCAGTAGGCTTAACTCTTTGACTATATCAAATACGATATTCTTATGATTATTAGAAAATTTTTATTATAATATATGATAGTGGTTAAGAAATGAAAACCTGGAATGACTACCTATATAATTTAACTGTGTGTCTCACTTTCCTTATCTCTAAAATGAGGGAAATACTGTTAATATTTTACAGACCTTTAGCTATACATTGATGAATCTCAAATTTATTTCTTTCGAAGTTTTCTCTCCAGCTCTGACCTCTTCTTTGAGTTCTAAAACATATACATAATAACCTATTCTATTTATTCCACTTAAAATATTACAGTCATCTTAATCTTAACATATTTATTATTAAAGTTTTCATTTACCACCTAAGTTAGGTACTTTCAGCCTTTCCTCTCTCTGTATACTTCATACCATCTGACCATCTGCTTAAGAGCCATAAGTGTCAGTCATCGTTATTACCTCTCACTCTCTCCTTCACTCACCATAATTCATTGGCAAATCAGCTCCTACTTCTATCTTCTTTGCCACTACTTTGCTTAAAACCATCCTTTGTCTTGATGAAAATATTATAATATCCTCCTAAAAGCAACATTGCTATATCTCAATGTTAGGGACAAAGAAAGAAAAACTAACAGAGTGAGAAGGTGATCTACAGAGAAAATATTTTCAAACTACACATTAGACAAAGGGTTAATATCCAAAACTTATAAGGGACTTAAACAACTCAAAAGCAACAAACAAAACAAAACAAAAAACTTCAAATTATATAATTAAAAAATGCACAAAAATAATCTAATAGAAATTTATCAAAAGACAGCATACACGTAACACACAGGTATATGAAAAAATGCCCAGCATCACTAACAATCAGGGAAATGCAAATTAAAGCCACAATAAGAGATGCCATCTCACTTTATTAGAATGGCCATTATAAAAAAGACCAAAGAAAACAATTGGCAAGGATGTGGAGAAAAATAAACATGTACACAGTTTTGGAGGAACTGTAAATCAGTACAGCCATTATGGAAAACATTATGGAGGTTCCTTAAAACATTAGAAATGGAACTTTCATGTGATCCAAAAGTCCCACTAATGGGTATATATCCAAAGGAAATGAAATCAGTATGCCAATGAGATATCTACACTCTCATGTTTGTTGTGGTACTATTTACAACAGCCAAGACATGAATCAACCTAAGTGTCCAACAACAGATGAATGAATAAAGAAAATGTGGTATATATACACAAAGGAATACTATTCAGCCGTAAAAAATAATTAAATCTTGTCATACACAATTACCTGGAAGACATCATTCTAAGTGAAATAAGCCAGATACATAGACAAATACCACACGATCTTATTTATATTTGGAATCTTTAAAAAAATGTTCATATCATAGAGGTAGATTAGTTACCAGAGACTAGGGTAAGGGGACAAGGAAGAATGGGTAGAGGTTGGTCAATGAGTATGACATTACAATTAGATAAGATGAATAATTTATCGCTTTCTATTACTATGGTTAACGGTAAGGTATTGTATATTACAAAATAGCCAGAAGAGAGGCCTTTGAATGTTCTCACTGTAAAGAAATAATAAATGTTTGAGGTGATGGGTATGCTAACCATCCTGATTTTATCATTATACATATATGTATCAAAATCTCAAATTGTACTCCATAAGTAGGTACCATTACTATTTGTCAATTTAAAAATTTAAAAATTAATATGTACCCCCTCCCTCAAATTTTGACATAAAAAAACAAAACAAAATAAAGTTAGGGGTATGTGAATTAAAAGTGTGAGCTGCTAATTGCCATGCTCTAGAGATTGTAACTTTAATGGATGATTTCAGAAACAATTGCCAGTTGGAGTAATAAGGGCTAAATCCACAAAGATTCCACACAGCTAGATGTTAAAGGACATATTAGCTGATAAAAGAAAGGAAGGCACTTCATCTTTGGAGAGACTACAAGAGCAAAGACCTGAAGGTAGAAATGGTCTCTCTTCATATAAAGAATAACCAAGTGCTCTAATTGGAGAAGAATTAGAGAAAATTAATTAAGTGACAAATCCATTGACTATTCTTTGCACTACTCTCAGAAAAATTTCTATATGTTGCTAATATAAAATATTGTGAGTGACTATTATTGGATTTCAGGAAACATAACTAACATCATAGCAAATAAATGTTATTCTAAATCTTAGATAACTTACGACTACAGGTTTAGCCTGTGTTAGAGCATATGCATATTACATTTGAAAGAAGGGAATGAGACAACATTATACAAACACGTTGCTCCAGACTACCTTGCATTAAAAATTTCAAAATATTTCAGTTAGAAATAGCAGTTCCAGTAGAATTTCAAAGTCCTTCTTTAAAAAAAGTAAAATTTCTTTTGAGCTATTGCTAGCTGAACATGAACAAACAAAAGCATGAAAACATAAGCAATTAGTATTTGTGTTTCCTCAATAATCCTCGTCAGACTTTCCCAGTAATTCCTTTTCCTGCTCTCAACCAAAGGGTTGTGCTACAGGGAGAATGATTTATTTCAGACTTCAAAATGTAGTATTAGTGGATGTGAATTAAAAATAGATAAGAGCATAAACGCTTTGCTAGAGACTATTTATTCTTCTTTACATTTATTTATTTATTTATTTTTTAATTTTATTATTATTATACTTTAAGTTTTAGGGTACATGTGCACAACCTGCAGGTTTGTTACACATGTATACATGTGCCATGTTGGTGTGCTGCACCCATTAACTTGTCATTTAGCATTAGGTGTATCTCCTAATGCTATCCCTCCCACCTCCCCCAACCCCACAACAGTCCCCGGTATGTGATGTTCCCCTTCCTGTGTCCATGTGTTCTCATTGTTCAATTCCCACCTATAAGTGACAACATGCGGTGTTTGTTTTTTTGTCCTTGTGATAGTTTGCTGAGAATGATGGTTTCCAGCTTTATCCATGTCCCTACAAAGGACATGAACTCATCATCTTTATGGCTGCATAGTATTCCATGGTGTATATGTGTCACATTTTCTTAATCCAGTCTATCATTGTTGGACATTTGGGTTGGTTCCAAGTCTTTGCTATTGTGAATAGTGCCACAATAAACATACGTGTGCATGTGTCTTTATAGCAGCATGATTTATAATCCTTTGGGTATATACCCAGTAATGGGATGGCTGGGTCAAATGGTATTTCTAGTTCTAGATCCCTGAGGAATCGCCACACTGACTTCCACAATGTTTGAACTAGTTTACAGTCCCACCAACAGTGTAAAAGTGTTCCTGTTTCTCCACATCCTCTCCAGCACCTGTTGTTTCCTGACTTTTTAATGATTGCCATTCTAACTGGCATGAGATGGTATCTCATTGTGGTTTTGATTTGCATTTCTCTGATGGCCAGTGATGATGAGCATTTTTTCATGTGTTTTTTAGCTGCATAAATGTCTTCTTTTGAGAAGTGTCTGTTCATATCCTTAGCCCACTTTTTGATGGGGTTGTTTGTTTTTTTCTTGTAAATTTGTTTGAGTTCATTGTAGATTCTGGATATTAGCCCTTTGTCAGATGAGTAGGTTGCAAAAATTTTTTCCCATTCTGTAGGTTGCCTGTTCACGCTGATGGTAGTTTCTTTTGCTGTGCAGAAGCTCTTTAGTTTAATTAGATCCCTACATTTATTTTTATAGTAACTTACTGACAGATTACTTTAAATGTGTTAAAAGAGACTTATCCAATAATAAAATTTAAGAATTTTCCTATCTGAAATATAGTATACATGTTCAGAGAAAACAGGAAAAGGAAACTTCAAGCTAGCACATTCACACTATGATTTTTTAAGCTGAATGGCTCATATGAACTTCTTATGCAACAGACAAAACACTGAATGAGAAATATATGTTAATTTAGAAAAATGCAATATAAAATAAAGCATTGATTAGTAGTAAAATTTTAGCTTGGTTAGTGCTAATATTCCAATGTTAATATACCATAATTGTGTAAAATAAAATATTAGTTAAGTCTTTCATGAATTATTAAATATATTGATTTTGCTATATGTAATTTAGAATCAGTCTGGCAATATAGTGTTTTAAAATGGTTTTAATATATTATAGGAAGATATCTCCATTTAACCAGGACAAATTTTCTAATAACTTCTACTACAAAACATTATTCTTGCCTATATTGCATAAGACTATAAATGAGAAAATCATTGTTTTTAATTGCACTGTTTTAATTGGGAAAATAAGCTCCATTTAATTTCCTTATTATATTTTAATTAATCTTTTTAAAAAAATTAGAAGAACTCATTTTCAATGCTTTATTAAACAATTTGAGAGACAAATATTCTGGTTTTAAGTGGACTTTTGATATCAATTTTCAAAGTACTTATAATTAGTGTAAAATAATAGAATTCTATGACATGTTAGATATTCTTACAAAATAACCTACCATGTGTTTTGCATTTAATTTACAGCTGGGAACTCACTAGGGTGTATTTCGATATTTCTATATGAAGCATAATATCGTGATTTTGACCAATAATGTTTTGTTTTTAATAATTTTCACCATAAAATAGGTTCTCTGGGAGCTTTCAAAGAAGTGTGTATCCCCATCCTCCACATTTTTTTAACATAGATCAAAGATACAGACCTTGCAAAAATTTCGGTTTGACCACAGCTTTCAAATAATTAAAAGAAAAAACATCTATTTCTAGTGAAACATATAGTTAAAAATAAGTAATGGAATTTACACAAACACTTCTAAAATAACTAGGCTCAAATGAACATCTTTTCAGGTTTCTAACTTCATGAATTATTTACTTTTGTCCAGTTGCTTGAGAACTAATAATTAGTCATTTCAGAGATTTTGTCTTAATTTTTAAGGCCTAGAGATTTGTGAGTAAAAATTTTGCACATGAAAGGATGCTATAAAACTTTACTAAATACTATAATGTTTTACTAAATATATACTTAACAGATAGAAGCAATAACCATGACTCACTTATTTTTAAGGACGGATATTACTGGGAGAAAATAGACTGCATGTTGAATTAGACTTGCCTTGCTTTCAAAAGATTCCAATCTAAATTTGACTATGTTTTAATTAAAATATATATTCATTGGAAATTATTCATTCCTATTTCAAAACGTAAATTTCATGAGAATATCATACTCAATGTTAATAATCATTTAGTTGGCACTTAGCACAGTTCCTAGCTGACTTTGTTTTATAAAATATGGGTAAAGGTGAATAAGGCATAATAAACTCAGTTTTCTTGAAAAGTAGGAATATACACTCTGGGAAATGGGAAAATAATTAAGAAAATGTTGTCTAATAGGAATTATTGAAAATATAATCAAAGCATGTCCAGGATGGCATTACGGAGAATGACTAGGGGTATTTCAGAGGTGGAAACAGGGGAATATCATGACTAAATGGAAAGGACATAGTGATGATTTCCATAGAATCTGGGATATGTAACAGCCTTAGATCTACTTCTAGTTTAGTTAAGAATAAAACAGAATGGCAGGTTTTTAGGTCTGGAGGAGAAGGGATGATATACAGTATGCAACTTTTGTAATTTTTGAGGTTAAGTTGCTTGTGGAACATCTAAGATTTAATGTTCAGAAAGATCTAGGTACAGAAGACAACAGCTACACAGATTAATGCCAGCACATTTTTAAAAAGGCAACATGGAAGTTAGTGACTTTTTTTATATCAACAAGTATTACTCAGTAAATGAATATTTTTGTATTAAATCTAATTGTGTGTAACCTAACACCAGCCTCATCCAAACCTATAAACAGCCAAATATCAGGGTAAGGTACAGTTTCCCCAAGGCAAATATTCAAATATATTTTGGTTTAAAAGGCTATTGTCTTAAACTCGAAAAGAAAACTAAAGGGAAAATTCAATAACTTAATTGTAATAATATATAATAGATAACCAAATTAGAAGAGTCTACAATGATGACGATGGTGATAGATAATATTTATATAGAGAACAAAACAAATATAAATGTTTTAATTGACTAAAATAAAAATATACATGAAATCCTAATAAAAACTTGAAACTATTTTTTCATATTTTGAGATAATTCTTGATATTTAATAGTGACTACATATTTAATTTTAAAACATTTTAGTAGGATGATATTAATATAAAGATAAAAATAATCAAAGTTATACACCTTAAAAATCAAGTTAGAAAAGTTATATGGCTGTCAGAAAATATATATACCTCCTATGTGCTAGGAACATCTATATAATGTTCCAAGGACTTTACATAAATTAGTTCATATATCCTCAGAGTATGCTTATGAATTCCTGTTTTACTAAGAAGACATTGAGGCTGAAAAATGTTTTAATTGGAGTCAGAATTCCAACCCTATTAATATATTTTATCAAGATATAGAAATGTTATCTTAAAAGGACTTTAAAAAATATGTGATCAGAGTTTTCTTATCTGATCACATAACACAATAATTTTGTGCTTTTGGCTAGTATTTATGAAACCTAATCTACATTTGAAGTGATGTACCAAGAAGCCTAATCTAGTACACCCAGGCACCAGGCAGGATCCACCCCACCTCAAACCCCTGGTAACAGGCCTGTGGACCTCACTGCAGACTCAGCAGTAACCATGTGACCTGGCTCCAATCCCATAAGACCCCTATTCTGGAGGTAATCCCATCAGCCTATGGACCCAAAAGATCTTTACCTACCAAAACCAGTCTGTAAAGACTGGAAGAGGTGTTTGCTCCTTCAAATGCACAAACACAAATGCAAGCCTATGCAGATCATAAAAAATCAGGCAACTGTCACACAACCAAAGGAAAGCAATAAAATCCTAGCAGCCCACTTCTACTAGATCTCTATAGAACTACCGATCTATGAATTGTCAAAAAACAAAATGATCATCTTGAAGCTGAATAAGATGCTCAAAACAGATAAGCAACTAAATAAAATTAGGAAAACAATGCATCGGCAAAATAAGTTTAATAAAAAAATGGAAACCATAAAAAGAACCCAATAGAAATCCTGAAGCTAAAGAATGCAATAACAGAAGTGATCATTTTATAGATAGCTTTACTGGCAGACATATTCATGCAGAAGAAATTCTTTAAATTTTTAATACCATGATTGTTTTCAATACCATAGAATATTAGAAAACTCAGAAACAATACAAAGTAGACTTTCATTGACTGAAATAATAGTAACACATAAAAACCTAATAAAAATTGGAAACTCATTTTCTCACATTTTGAGATCATTCTGGATAACACTTAATGACTACAAACATCATTTTAAAATGTTAGTTGAGTGGTACCAATATGAAAATAGGAAGATTCCATCTGATATATAAACTTATATAAATGATATGGCTATTAGAAAATATGTCCAAATGGAAGCTGAGCACATTGGCTCACACTTGTAATCTCAGTGCTTTGGGAAGCAAAGTGGGAGGGTTGCTTGAGCCTAAATCACAACTAAAAGAACTTGAGAACCAAGAGCAAACAAATCCCTAAGCTAACAGAAGACAACAAATAACCAAAATCAGAGCTGAACTGAAGAAGATAGAGACACAAAAACCCTTCAAAAGATCAACAATCCCTCAAATAGTTGAAGTCTATAGAGTACACTTCATCCAATTTTTGTTATAATATTGCCCACCAATAGTAGAAAAATATTCCTAATAAAACTAACAAAGTAGCAATTACTTGGAGCTATTAATATCTCATTAAGTTTATATATTACAAGTACATATCAATATTAACAATTTCAATCAATATTCTTTAAAGAGTAGTTTAGGCCTTAGCTATCAATAGGAAGACTAATGAATATTTTTTTTCTCCAATGCCCACACTGAATTGTATAGCCTCACAAACCATTAAAAAAACAAAATGATTAATAGGGACAGAAAGTGAAATAGTGGTTACCAAGGACTTGGGGAAGGAGGAATGGGCAGTTGTTGTTTAAAGGGTACAGAGTTTCTGTTTGGGATGATGTAAAAGTTCTGGAAATATATAATGGTGATGGTTGCACAACATTGTGAATCTACTTAATGCCATTTAAATATATATTTAGTAATTTTTAAATGCTATATTTTATGTCATGTATATTTTCTCATAATAAAAATGCAAAAAATAAAACACCCCACACAAAAGGAGCATTTTTGGAGTTGTTCCAAAATATTCCACATGCTAATAAAGCATGAAAATTGAATAACCTGCTCTTGAATGACTTTCGGGTAAATAATGAAATTAAGGCAGAAATCAAGAAGTTCTTTGAAATTAATCAGAAAAAAAGATACAACATACCAGAATCTCTGGAACACAGCCAACACAGTTTTAGGAGGGAAGTTTATAGCACTAAATGGCCACATGAAAAAGTTAGAAAGATCTCAACTTAACAACCTAAAATCACAACTAAAGGAACTTGAGAACCAGGAGCAAACAAATCCCTAAGCTAGCAGAAGACAACAAATAACCAAAATCAGAGCTGAACTGAAGAAGATAGAGACACGAAAACCCTTCAAAAGATCAACAAATTCAGAAGGTGGTTTTTAGAAAAAAAATTAATAAAACAGACAACTAGCTAAACTAATAAAGAAGAAAAGAGAGAAGATTCAAATAAACACAACCAAAAATGACAAGGGATATTACCATTGACCCAATAAAATATGAACAGCCATCAGAGAATATTATTAACAGCTCTCTGCACATAAACTAGAAAATCGAGAATAAATACATAAATTCCTGGACACAGACACCCTCCCAAGACTGAGCCAGGAAGAAATTAAATTACTGAACAGACCAAAACAAGCTCTGAAGTTGAGTAAGTAATAAATAGCCAACCAACCAAAAAAAATCCCAGGACCAGAGGGATTCTACCTGATGTACAAAGTAGAGCTGATACGACTCCTGCTGAAAATATTCCAAAAAATTCAGTAGGAGGAATTCCTCCCTAACTCATTCTACAAGGCAAGCATCTTCTGATACCAAAATCTGACAAAGATCCAACAAAAAAAGAGAACTTCAGGCCAATATCCCTGATGAACATCAATACAAAAATCCTCAACAAAATACAGGCAAACCAAATCCAGCAGCACATCAAAAAGCTTATTCATCACAATCAAATATGCTTTATCCCTAAGATGCCATGTTGGTTCAACATACACAAATCAATAAATGTGATTCATCACATAAGCAGAACTAAAGACAAAAACCACATAATTCTCTCAATAGATGCAACAAAGGCTTTTGATAAAATTCAATACATCTTCATGTTAAAAACTCTCAATAAACTAGCTATTGAAGGAACATACCTCAAAATAATAAAAGTCATCTATGACAAACCCCCAGCCAAAATCATACTGCATGGGCAAAAACTGGAAACATTCCTGGCAAAAGACAAGGATGCCCTCTCTCACCACTCCTATTCAGCCATAGTATTGGAAGGCTGGTCCAGGGCAATCAGGCAAGAAATAAAAAAAAATAATAAAGGGTATCCAAATAGGAATGGAGGAAGTTAAACTATCTCTGTTTGCAGATGACATGATCCTATATCCAGAAAATCCTATTGCCTCAGCCTAAAAGCTTCATAAGCTGATAAACAACTTCAGCAAAGTATCAGGATATAAAAACATTGTGTAAAAATGTCTAGCATTATTATATAGCAACCACAGTGAAGCTGAGAGACAAGTCAGGAGCACAATCCCATTCACAGTTGCCACAAAAAGAATAAAATATCTGGGTATATAGGTAACTAGGGAGGGTGAAAGATCTCTACAAGGAGTACTACAAAACATTGTTGAAAGAAATCAAAGATAACATAAACAAATGGAAACACATCCCACAGTCTTGTATAAGAAGAATAAATATCAAAAAATGGCCATACTTCCCAAAGCGATTTATAGATTCAATGCTATTCCTATTAAATTACCACTGACATTCTTCATGGAACTAGACCAAACTATATGAAAATTCGTATGAAACCAAAAAAGAGCCTGATAGTCAAGACAATCTTAAATAAAAAGAACAAAGCTGGAGGCATCATGCTACCTGACTTCAAATTATACTTCAGAGCTACAGTAACAAAAACAGTATGGCACTGACACAAAAACAGGCACCAATGGAACAGAATAGAGAGCCCAGAAATAAGTTCACACACCTGCAAACTAATGCCTATCTGATCCTCAACAGACCTGACAAAAACAAGCAATGGGGAAAGGATTCTTTATTCAATAAATGGTGCTGAGATAACTGGCTAGCCTTATGCAGAAGATTCAAACTGAACTCCTTCCTTACACCATATACAAAAATAAACTCAAGATGGATGAAAGGCTTAAATGTAAAACCCAAAACTATAAAAACCCTGGAAGACAACCTAGGTAATATCATTCAGGACATAGGCATAGGCAAAGATTTTATGATGAAGATACTGAAAGCAATTGCATCAAAAGCAAAAATTGACAAATGGGGTCTAATTAGACTAAAGAACTTCTGCACAGCAAAAGAAACTATCAACAGAGTGACTAGATAAACCTACATAATGGGAGCAAATTTTTGCAAACTATGCTTCCAACAAAGGTCTAATAGCCAACACCTACAAGGAACTTAAACAAATATACAAGAAGAAAACAACCCCATTAAAAAGTGGACAAAGAACATGAACAGAAACTTCTCCAAAGAAGACATACATACAGCCAACAAACAGGGAAAAAAAGCTGAAAATCATTGATAATTAGAGAAATGCAAATGAAAACCACAATTAGTTATCATCTCATACCAGTCAGAATGGCTATTAATAAAAAGTCAAAAAATAACAGCTGCTGGCAAGGTTGTGAAGAAACAGGAATGCTTATACACTTTTGGTAAGAGTGTAAATTAGTTCAACCATTGTGAAAGACAGTGCGGTGATTCCTCAGAGACTTAAAGACAGAAATACCATCGATCCAGCAATCCCATTATTGGGTATATACCCCAAAGAATATAAATCATTGAATTACAAAGACACATGCACCTGTATGTTCGTTGCAGCACTATTCACAATAGCAAAGACAGAATCAACCTAAATGCCCATCAATAATAGACTGAATGAAGGAAATGTGGTACATATATACCATGGAATACTATGCAGCCATAAAAATATAACAAGATCCTGTCTTTTGCAGGGACACTGATGGTGCTGGGCGCCATTATCCTTAGCAAACTAATGAAGGAACAGAAAACAAAATACCACATGCTGTCACTTATTAGTAGGAGCTAAATGATGAGATGATAATACATGGACACATACAGGGAACAACACACACTGGGGCCTATCAGAGGGTGGAGTGTGAAAGGAGGGAGAGGATCCAGAAAAACAAGTGGTCCTTGGCTTAATACTTGGGTGACAAAATAATCTGTATAACAATAACCCATGACACAAGTTTACCTATATAACAATCCTGCACATGTACCCCTGAACTTAAATAAAAGTTAAAGAAAGAAAATTTCAGGAAAGTTTTCTAGAATTATCTGAGCAATTACTCCAAGCCATTGCTCAATAAGATTTCTGTCTAACCTGTGCTTACTATCCAAATGCAGCTCCACTTTTTAATACAGACCCATATCTAAAGGAGCCCATTAAATCCCACTATAAACCAAATTTCTTAACAGCTAGCTGTGAGAATCAGTTGCAGAAAGCTTGTTTTTCAGTGGAGTTAACTGCTCACAATCAAGAGAATTTCCAGGAATCCCAAGTTCAAAGGTAAACACCTACTTCAGCTTCATGCTATCTAGAACTTGATAGAAGAGAGCTAGGAGGCTTTTATGATTTTCCTGTGCACAAGAACTAAACTAGCAGGCTTTAAAAAGTATAAGTGAAACTTCAGAGGGTTATATAGCTCTGAAGTAATGGTAAAAAACCTAGCAGGGGAGGTGAATGGTGAAAAAAAGAGATGATTCTAAGGGGATCTCTGGTAACTATGGCATAAACTGACTTGGCTGCTAAAACACCTGCTGTGTCTGAACATCAGTCAAGAAAGGCAAAAAAAAATGCATTTTGATTTTTTTGGTTAAAGTACTGTGTTTAAAATTGAAGACATCTAATGTTATTCTAATTCATATTCTCATTGTTTCTTCACATATCCTTTTAAAAACATACTACAATTGAACATTTAGCTCTTTTTAATAAAAATTTGTATAGGGACTTGTTTATAAGCACAATAAACTATTCTGTGTGTGAATTATGGGGTAACAATTCACACCTTGTGCATTAAATGGAGCTCAGTATGATCTTATGTCTACCCATGCAAAGGATGTGAATTATTACATCATCATTCACATCCTGTTGTGTTGTGCTTCTTAAATATCATCTTTTTGCAGAAAAAAATGCTTTATATTTATGTGTTTTATTCTTAAATTTGTGTTTGGGTATATGGCTTTGGAAACTGTACAAAAATGCAAGGCAAACAATACTTTAATGCTGTATTAGAGGCATTGTTTATTTTACATTTGAAATGTTGTTGGCTAAGTTTAATCAAGCTATATCATCATACTAGCAAAGGCACTGCATAGGTATTACACATTTCTTTTACAGAGCAGACATATTCATCTGTTTGACTACCTTGATTATCGTCTTTAAAGTTAAATTTGTCTGTTTGCCTCTTATCTTGTAAATTGAGGCAAGAGTTGTAAATTAATTATTTAATGTTACCCAGATGGTAGAGATTCTTTCACATTTAAGGTTGCATCTAGGCAAATACTTCAAAAATTTCTTTTACTTGTTATTTCTAGAAGTAGAAGTACACAAATTTGGTAATTCTACCAATTTTGTTAAATATTTTTTATCTAAATATTTAGTAATGAAATTAAAAAGTGAAGATTAATTTTGTTGTAGAAATTCTTATTTATATGTGTCCATGTTTATCTTAAACAGAAATATAGGATTTCAAAATTGAGGCTTGTTAGATGTTTCATTTTATTAGAATCCACAGAAAGCAGCAGACCTAGAATTTGCTTGGACTCACCTGCTTTTTGTCTAATTATTTACTTGTTTAACGAACTAACTTAATCCTAGGGAGATTAAGCTTATCAAATTTGATAATAGAAGATTTAAATATTTCAATTTTTCAATTGTAAGTTTTGTAAGATTTTGTAACAGTGAAACAGCAAAATAACTAACTCCATTTTTGTCTAAGGGGCCTTTACTCATTCCTGCAGGTAGGCTAGTATAATTTTAGAGCACTAAGATAATATGTAAAAACAGCCATTATGTAATTTTTAAAACTAACTCTGAGATTAAAGGAGAAGTATGTAAACAACTATGTTTTGGGAAAGGCTTATAGGAGCATTGTGACCTGACCAAGGGCAAAAATGTTCCCAGCCTCCTCAGACCCTCCCTGGTGCCCAGATGTCTGTGTTTGTCAATCACCTCTTGATCCCAACCCCCTCTTCTTCCCCCTGCCCTTAACATTAAAAAAGCCTAAAATTTGTTCTGACTTAAGATGGTATTTTAGGATACTAGTCCACCATCTTCGTGGTTTGCTGGCTTTCTGAATAAAACTGCTTTTATTTTCTCACTAATTCTCTTCTCTTGTGTTTGGCTTTTGAGTGGTGAGCAGCTGAACCTGGACTTGCATTATTCTGTTGTAACATGAACCTGTGATTATATTGTTTAGTATAATTAAATAAATATATATATATGCACATATACATATAAGCATATACCATACATTATATATAATACCAACATAAATTTAGATTATATATGTACATTTTATACATAATTACATATATAATACCAATTTATAGATAAGTTTTGCTCTCCAATATGATATTCACTAACTCATCTGTTATTTAAATTCAAATTTTGATTGATTTAAATTAAATTAAAATTTCAGTTACTCAGCTACACTAGGCACATTTTAAGTGTTCAATAGTCCTCATCATAGAAAGTCTTACTGAACTGCACTTAGTATATATGTACACACACATACACACACATGATATATATATACACACACACAAGCTTATATATATGCTGCTTAAATTTAAATATAATCCATACATATACATGCACACTACATAAATATAAGTTTTATAGCAGATTCTTCTATTTATTGACCACGTTGAGTAGGTCACAAGAAATTACTAGAAGCTCTACCAAAAAAAAGCTAAAGCTCTCTTGAAGGCAAATTTTATTTAAAAAAATTATTAAAGAATTTATCTCATTTGCCAGTATGTTTCTTTTGTATGTTTGTTTCCTTGTTTGTGTTTGAACACTTCTTTTTAACCCAAACTACCATTGAAAATTGTTACTTTAAACTGCAAATTATTTACTTTTAGAAAAATAAACTGAAAAATATTTGGTGGATGGTTCTCTCTCTTAATTTATGTCAAATGTAGCCATTGTCCTTGTCTTTATGTTGTCTAAAATATTTCTATGCTATTATTATATAAATTTATTTTTGTTAATTTGTAAATATGTATTATAGTTTTGATTCTATCACTTAAGTAGGCTATAATTGAATTTGACTGCAGTTGTGTTTTTATAATTAATTTTCATGTTTATTTGCAGAATGTATTATGTACACTTTTGAACAGTGTGCCACATGCAATTAATTGCAGAAGATTTGACTTGGTATGCTCTTTTTCATTTAATTAAAACTCCAACTCATTGCTATGATGAAGACTGGCACAATGGGAAAGGCAAATAATCTAGAAAAGAGTGAAAAGTAACAAGCTTCAATGAAACATATGCACAGTGTGGAAATAAGTGAGAAAATGTTAATATCTTTTATCTTGTGCTCTAGTTTATGAAAATTGCCATGGCATATATTCATTCAAGTACCCATTCATTAATCACTTATTTAGTACCTACTATGCATGAGGTACCATGTTAGATGAATGCAAAACTAGAAAATTGTGGTGCCGGAAGAAATCCAGAGAAGCACAAAGTTATTAGAAGAGAACTCTTTCCAGACCATTTTCAAGTAGATATGTTTTGCTTAATCAAAGGAAAACTAAAAAGAGGCAAATTTTTAAATGTATGCTCAGTGACTGTTCTCCAATTGTTGATTCCTGCTACACAGTCTTTTTCTCATGTACAGGCTTGAATGCAGCTGATTGAGAGTTGCAGAGAGGTCACTGTTGTAAAACGGTATGTGTATAAACATCTAATGAACAAAAAGCATTTGTTATGTTGTGTATTCATTTTCTAGGGCTGCCATAAAAAGTACTGCACCACTGAGGAGCTTTTATCTCACAGTTCTACAGGCTAGAAGTCCAAGATCCAGGGTCAGTAGGGTTAGTTTCTTCTGAAGACGTGTCTCCTTGTAAATAGTTATATTTGCCGGGTATCTTCACATGATCTTTCCTCTGTGTGTGTGTATCCTAATCTCTTCTTCTTATAAGGACACTAGTCCTATTGGATTAGGGCTCACACCAGTGACCTAATTTAACCTTAATTACCTCTCTAAATACATTATCTTCAAATAAGAGTCACATTCTGAGGTATTGAATGTTAAGATTTTAACACATACATTTCAGGGCACACAATTTAGCCCATAGCACACTGCCAGACAATATACATATATATTATCTTATTAGATTCTTCCTAGTCTTACCACCAAGCCCCTGTTCCATGGTTACCTCAGTCCTGCATCCTTATTACCCTTACTTTGTGGGACTTTTACCTTCAGACTTTAACTTAAATCTGATTCTCCCTGGAACAGAGTGCTTTTCCTGTATCCCTCAAAGTGGAGGGTGTTTGGGCTATCTGACTAAAGCCTCTCTCTCACCTTAGGCAGTCTTCATTTCACTAGTGAAGTGGCATGTAACTGGCAATGTTCCCTTTCAATATAAGTCTCATCTCATTCTTGCTAACTGTGCTGCCCATGTGGGCAAGATATCTAATGATTTATTTCTTATTCATTGAACTCTGCAACTCCAAAGACCTCATCTACTTCAGCTACAACCTCCCATGGACTTTCATCACCAAAATTACTCTGTCTTAAAGTTACAAATTATGTTTGTATTCCCCCTATATCTTTCTCAGTAGGTATTCACTCAACAAATTAAGAGTGAAATATCAAGGTTAGGCTTTATTCCAGGGTCTTAAAAACATTAAAGGACATACTTATATCTTAAAAAAGTAAACTGCACTATAAAATACTAAACTACACTATGCTAAATGAAATGTAGTACTTTACAAACAAGAAATTTATGAAACATTGACTATTCACCTTTCTAGTGTTTCACATCAAGGGGAGATAAGCATATTAAGAATGAGCAAAACTAAAACTCCAGATATTATAAAATTTACATGAGGCTATTAATTTCTGAAACTTATTTATTTATTTTTTGAGATGGAGTTTCACTCACTCTGTTGCTCAAGCTCGAGTGCAGTGGCATGATTCATGTTCAAGTGATTCTCCTGCTTTCAGCCTTCCAAGTAGTTGGCATTACAGGCACATGCCATCACACCCAGCTAATTTTTGTATTTTTAGTAGAGACGGGGTTTTGCCATGTTGGCCTGGCTGGTCTCAAACTCCTGGCCTCAAGCAATCCTCCTGCCTTGGCCTCCCAAAGTTCTGGGATTACAGTCGTGAGCCACCATGCCCAGCCAGACTTTTTTTTATCTCAGTGGCTTTAAAGGTACAAGTGATTTTTGGTTACATGGATAAAATATGGGATTTTAGTGTACCCGTCACCTGAAGCATGTACATTGTACCCAATAGGTGGTTTTTCATCCCTCACCACCCCCCCAATCCTCCATGCTTTTGAGTCTCCAATGTCCTTTACACCACTCTTTAAAATAGAATCTTGCAATAGTTGGTGAGCCTTGTTCTTCCAAGGCAGTGCGGAATTAGGTTACTTATTTACGTGCCAGTCCATTTGCAAAATTTACCCCTTTCTGCTGTGCATGTTTTTTGCTACCACCCTTGGCAGATGGACGACTGTGAGAGCCACAAATGCCTCCCTGCTCCCTATTTCGTACCCCAGCTGACTCCCATTCTTTCTCTACATAGCAGGAGTTTGGTCTCGCTAAATCTCATATATTTGATTGTTTCCCCACACTACTTACAGAAGTTCAATAACTTTCAGTGGCCTTCGCTTATGAAAATGTACTCTATAAAATGAAAGGGATGTGTTACACAACACCTAAATGTGTCTCTTTTTTAACTTTTATTTTAGGTTTGGGGCTACATGTGAAACTTTGTTATATAAGTAAACTCATGTCACACAGGTTTGGTGTACAGATTATTTTGTTAACCAGGTACCAAGCCTAATATGCAGTAGTTGTTTCTTCCTGCTCCTCTCCCTCCTCCCAATCTCCACCGTCCAAAAGGCCCCAGTGTCTGTTGTTCTGTTCTTTGTGTTCATGCGTTCTCATCATTTAGCTCCCACTTATAAGTGAAAACATGCAGTATTTGGGCTTTTGTTCTCTTGTTAGTTTGCTAAGGATAATGGCCTCTAGCTCCATCCATGCTCCTGCTAAAGACATGATCTTGTTCTTTTATATGGCTTGATAGTATTCCATGGTGTATATGTACCACATTTTCTTTATTGAATCTGTCATTGATGGAGATTTAGACGGGTTCCATGTCTGCTATTGTGAATAGTGCTGCAGTGAACTTTCGCTTGCATATGTCTTTATAATAGAAAAATTTATATTCCTCTGGGTATATACCTAGTAATGGGATTGCTGAGCTGAATGGTGGTTCTGTTTTTAGCTCTTCGAGGAATCACCATAGTGCTTTCCACAATGGTTGAACTAATTTACACTCCCACTGACAGTGTATAAGTGTTCCCTTTTCTCCACAACCTTGCCAGCATCTGTTATTTTTTTGCTTGTTAATAATAGCCATTCTGACTGGTGTGAGATGGTATCTCACTGTGGTTTTTGATTTGCATTTCCCTAATGTTGAGTGATATTGAGCTTTTTTCATATGCTTGTTAGCCACATGTATGTCTTTTTTAGAAAAGTCTCTGTTCATGTCTTTTGCCCACTTTTTAATAGGGTTGTTCATTTTTTTCTTGTACATTTGTTTAAGTTCCTTACAGATTCTAGATACTACACCTTTGACAGATGCATAGTTTGCAAAAAATTTGCTCCCATTCCGTAGGTCCATTTATTTTGTTAATAGTTTATTTTGCTATGCAGAAACTCCTAAGTTTAATTAGATCCCATTTGTCAATTTTTGTTTTTGTTATGATTGCTTTTGGCATCTTTGTCATGAAATATTTGCCTGTTCCTATGTCCAATATAGTATTTCCTAGGTTGTCTTTCAGAGTTTTTACCCTTTTGGGTTTTATATTTAAGTCTTTAATCCATCTTGAATTTATTTTTGTATATGGTATAAGGAAGGGGTTCAGCTTCAGTATTTTGCATATGGTTAGCCGGTTATCTCAGCACCATTTATTGAATAGGGAATCATTCCCCTATTGTTTGTTTTGGTCAGCTTCGTTGAAGACCCGGAGGTTGTAGGTGTGAAGCTTTATTTATGGGCACTCTATTTTTACCACTGCTATTCAACATAACTATGAAAGTTCTTGCCAGAACAGCCAGGCAAGAGAAAGAAATAAAGTGTATCCAAATAGGAAGAGAAGAAGTCAATCTATCCCTCTTTGTAGATAACAAGTTTCTATATCTGGGAAATCCCATAGTCTTGGCCCAACAGCTTCTTAAGCTGATAAACAACCCCAGCAAGTTTCAGGATACAAAATCAATGTGCAAAAATCACTAGTATTCCTATACACCAACAATAGCCAAGAGACGAATCAGGAATGCACTGCCGTTCATAGTAGCCAAAAAAAGAATTAAATACCCAGAAATAATGCAAAAGATATCTACAATGTGAATTACAAAACACTGCTGAAAGAAAACAGAGATAACACAAATGGAAAAACATCCCGTGCTTATGGATAAGTAAAATCAATATCATTAAAATGGCTATACTACCCAAAGCAATTTATACATTTAATGTTATTCCTATCAAACTATCAATTACATTCTTCACAGAACTAGGAAAAAAAAACTATTTTACAATGCATATGGAACCATAAAAGAGGCCAAATATCTAAGGCTATTCTATGCAAAAAGTACAAAGTTGGAGGCATCACATTACCCAACTTCAAACTATACTACAGGGCTACAGTAACAAAAACAGCATGGTACTGGTACAGAAACAGACACATAGACCAAAGGAAAAGGTGTTTTAAATTACTATATTTGTTGATCTGTATATATGAATTTTCGTTATGTACTATGATTTTCAATTTTGATTTGTAAATACCAGATATTTATTACTTGAATAAAGTACTCGATTTCAATTAACTTGGTTAGTTGTTGCTTTGTAATTTGTAGAAAACCAGTTTATATAGAACATGGAAATATACATACTTTCACTTATGTCATTCTCACAACAATTCCATGAACTAGGTATTATTATACCATTTACAAATGGAGGCACAGAAAGTCTCAGCAACTTATTCAAAACCATACTGCTTAGGATGGAGTATTATCCAAATGAGGCTAGCCCACTTTTGGGGCCCATAACTTAACCTTCATCCAAAGACCATGGAAGAAGGTATAAGAGCAGTTTGTTTCCTCTCCTCAGTTTTTCTCTTTTCCCAAAAGAAAACTTTAGTATTCTTAAGGAAAGTATTGACTTCCAAAATTACTACAAGAACATTACTGTAAGAACAAAATAGAAAGAATAACATAAAATATTGTCTACTTTATATAATTAAATTGAAATAACTATGCTTCTTTAAGGCCACATACATCTTAACCCACTCAAACTCATGTTTTCAAAGGTGCATTTATCCCGTATTACTATTTATGTTCAAGTTTATACATTTCTTAATTATGTGGACTCCCTAAACATAGTGCATTTAGTTTATTAATATAAAATGAGAGCTGTTACAATTTACTGCTTACTTGTCTTCTCATATAGCAACCTATCATTCAGGCAAAGAAAACATGTCTAAGATTAATGAAGGTCACCCTAACCCAAGTATTTTGATATTTTTGGAGCAAACAGAACCAAAAAGTAAACAGGCAAAAAGTCAATCTTTAAGCCAACAATGATAACAGGATATGTGTAAATAAATGGTTATTATAACTTTTTTTTTAATACCAAAACAGGCAAAATAAAAATTTCAAAACCTTTCATAAGGCCATGGGGCAGATAAAGACAGGAGAAGTCTAATTGCAATATATCCTGTAATGGAATCACCGTCTGTGTAGAAGCTGATTAAGGTTAATTTGAATCACATCAATTTGAATTAATGTGGCCTTTGCAGAATGAACAACACCTTAGTGCCAACATGATCAATTAGTACTTTTAACTCCATACATCCGCCTAGAAAGGTTAGATTTATTAGTTTTCAAGATAACATATTAGAATGCAAATCCATGTTACTTCATTTTTCTCCAGCCCACCTTATCTGAACACCTGGAATTTCTCAGGACAGATGTGTCTTAGAGTGAATTCATTTATAATGTAAAGCAAAAAAGGATGTACGGAGAAAAACAGCCAGATAGTTTTGCCTGTCTTCCAATGCTGGACAAACAAGTTCAAGTTACTCAATTAAGTCAGAGATCATAGTTTAGAAAAAAAATAACTGGTTATATTAGGTATAGAGTCATGTGTTACCCATATGGATTTCAAATCTTAGAGCTCAAAGATCCTTTAAGGTTTTATGGACAATTTATTTTAGTTCCCTTATTTTATGGATTAAAACATACTGCAGACCAGCAAATTTAAGTAACTTGCTTATAGTCACACAACAAACTGGACCAGAAGTTTAGTCTTTAGGCCACACTTTACACTTTATAATACCTGCTGAATTGGATATTTTACATTATTTGCACACACATGCAAAAACGTGTCACTGGCAAGATACAGTATTTCTATCAATTGTTGTGGTATCAGCAACAATCTTAGCAATTAAATTTTCAGAGATGAGATGTCATCTCTTTACTCCTAGAAAATTTACTTTAAAAAAAAAAAAAACCTTTTCAAGTTAATCATCTTATCACTAGCCACTTTGACTAACAGGCTACTGGAATGTATTCAGGCATACACAGTAGTTTCATGCTTCTATGCCTTTATTTCCACTCTTCCCTCTGGAATGAATGCCCTTTATCATTGTATCTTAACTGTCTACTCCCTCTATTCCTACATGGAATACTCACATTTTCACTGGTTTATTGTTACATAACAAATCATCACAATCAATTCCTTCAGATGGCAAAAATATATTTGCTCATGATTTTGCAGCTTAGGCAGATAAGCATAGTTCATGCATGTCTGCTTCACATGGTGAAATCTGAGACAACTCACCTAAAGCTAAAGGATCCAAGATGCTTCACTGGCAGGTCTGTTGCTTTACCTGGTATTAATGAAATAGTTGTGGGACTGGCTGGGCTTGTCTTCCTTACTTCTTAGTCTGTTATTATACAGGGTCTCTCTGTTTCCAAAGTCTAGCTCTCAACCAAGATATTCAGACTTCTTTATGATGACTGCCTTCCAAGAGAAAAGAATAGCTGTTAGGCCTCTTAACTTCTAAGCCTAAAGGTCATACAGTATGACCTCTGCCACTTTCTATTGGTCAAAGCAAGACTCAGAACTATACTGGATCCAAGGGATGGGAAATCAACTCCCTCTCTGGCTGGAATGAGTGGCATATACTTATTGGAATGGGAGCATTTGATGATGGCCTCCTTCTGATCAGTTGACATCAGCTAGACTAAGCCAAGTCCTTTTCCAGAAGCACCCCTAGCATACCCATAGTCAACTGAAGCTAAGCGAAGAGCTCCCATTTTGTACCTTTTAATCCCTTATCATTTTACTTATCACATTCTTATATGATTTAAATAATATAATTTATATAATATAATGATATATTTATATAATGATTTGAGACCGCTTCCTTGCAAAATAATAAGAAACCAGAACATGATCAGTTATTAATCATCCTTAAGTCATTCGTATTTAGAGTATGTCTGGCAAAGAAAGAGCTCAATAAAAGATTGCCAAACATAACTCAAAGTTTTAAAAGTACCGAAAGGGGAAGAAGCATGTTTTTCCAATACATTCACATGGCTGAGGAAAGTTGAATTTGAGAATAGGGACACTTAAAAAGATGTAACAATGTAGCTAGAATATTTTATGGAAAAAAATTCATAATAAAATGAAACAATGAGATAAAAGGTGCCCAGAAGTTTGTTTCATAATAGTTTATTGCCCTATGTGGTGATAAACAAGACATTTGATTCTATTTATTTTATTTGTATCTTCTTTTTTTATCTTTTTGTTGTTGTTGTTGAGACGGAGTCTTGCTCCATCACCCAGGCTGGAGTGCAGTGGTGAGATGTGATCTTGGCTCACTGCAACCTCCGCCTGCCGAGTTCAAGTGACTCTCCTGCCTCAGCCTCCTGAGTAGCTGGAATTACAGCTACTCAGTGGCGTGGCACCACCACGCCCAGCTAATTTTTGTATTTTTAGTAAAGATGGGGTTTCACCATGTTGGTCAGGCTGGTATGCAACTCCTGACCTCCTGATCTGCCTGCCTAGGCCTGCCAAAGTGCTGGGATTACAGGCATAAGCCACCTTGTGCGGCCTATTTGTATCTTCTTTAAATGAAATAATTCATATTGGTTCATTAAATATGTCTGTCTGCATGTGGCATTTGTTTGTAAGTATTTATTCTTATACTGGTAAATTTTCACAAATCTAAAAATTTTGGGAAATCCAAGAAAGGCAAATATTGCATAGAGTGAAATTTTCCTGAGGGCAAAATTCTAGCATGAAATCTTTAAGGGAAAATTATTTATCAAAATCCACAGTCTGAATTAGTGTATTTGAAAGATGTGGAGGCTTCCTCTCCCTCTAACATTTCCATCTGTTTCTTATTTCCTATCCCCACTTTGATAATAGCTGTGAACTTGTTGAAACAATCCAAATGGACTATTTCAAAGCAGTAAGCTGACTCTGCATAAAGCCATTTCTTGAAAATGCTCAATAAACACCAATGCTTTTATTTCCCTTTTTAAAAAGGCAGTAGAGGACTTGCTAGAACCTAGGGATGGCTTTCTTATTCCTTGTCAAACCACACGAGAAAGAGAAATAGAGATCTGGACATGACACCATCTCTAGCCCTGAATAAAACTTTTGTCAATGAATGCACTACCTGTAAGCTCATACAATGTTTTTACTCTGGAAAACCATGATAATAACGGATATTATATGAGCATATTTAAAGAATCTTTTATGTGTCAAAATTGCTTAGATAAAATAGAAATTTTGTTTTCAACTAGGAATCACAATGAAAAATAGATAAGTCATTACTCTCCTTCAATGGTAGCTTTATTTATACTCACAAGGATTTAAGTTGTTAGTTTGTCAATTAATTTCATTAGCTTTGTATTTCTGTTCATTATGTTGAAGGCTTTGAGAAAGGTCTATTTGAAATGTGTCTCCAGAGATATCTTTTTTTACTAGAAAATTAATGTGACATTTATCTGCTAGACAAAGAACCATGAACACAGTAAATAAACTTAAAATTTTCTTTCAAATATTCCTATGTCTAAATCACATGGTTAGAAACTATAGTAGACGTAGGACAAAAATGGAAAGCAGGAAAATGTGTGTCCACAGATTTTATTAGTAAGGCAGGAATTGTTAAGCAGGCTAAAAGCGAACAGGAGGGAAGCTGGGTAGGCCCTTCCCACACAGTTGGTACAAAGGTTGAGATAAATGAAGCAGCTAAAAGCACAGGCTTCTTTTTCAAAACTACTCACTAAAAGCAAAGTGGGAAATGAGAGAGACTTGCCTATAAGGAGGCTATTTTCTGAGACTCACTCCTGTGGTTGATACAGGAGAAAAATACAGGGCTACACAATAATATGGGTAATACTACTCCCTCTCAAACACAGCTTTTCTAGTGTTGGTCATTACAATCAGTCTCAGTGGACAAATGCCCATCTTTGGAAGCATCTAAGCATATAATTACTTAATAAAAAATAAAACAAGTTACATGATTATAACTGTCTTTTACTAACATTACATGTTTTATTACATTGTCTAGCAGTGAATGTGAGTGCTATAAAAATATCATGAAAATATCTTTTAGCAAACATTGGTCTGTGAATTTAAAATATTGACATCTAGTGTTAAAATATGTTGACATAAACTTACTAAAATTAAAAATGTAACAGATATTCATCTGCATTTTGTTTAGCTGAATATGTCTGTTTTCTTTTTAACTTGTGTCCAGATAAATTCTGGAGGGTTTTAAAAAATCGATTTCCTGTCATTTCCATTTAATAATTATGTTTTGTGTTTGTTCCTCTTAGCACATTTCATATTCATCAATTTAAATAGCCTGTTTTTATTTATGGAATTCTAAACAATGTTAGAGTAAACTACTGGGTGCTCCATTCCATTTAATAAAAGATTGCTGTGCATATGTCTGCAGTTGATATCCTATTTGAACATGTACAATTTATATGTGTGTATATGCATATTAAGTCATGTGTCATTTCACAACAGATATGTTCCAAGAAATACATCGTTAGGTGATGTTTTTGTGTGAACATGATAAGGTGTGTTTATACAAACCCCAAAATTATATTACTACACACCTAGGCTACATGGTATAGCCTATTGCTCCTAGGCTACAAACCTGTACAGCATGTTACTGTACTGAATACTGTAGACAATTGCAACACAGTATTAAGTATTTGTGTATCTAAACATAAAAAAAGAGTAAGAATGCAGTATTATAATGCTATGGGACCACGAGGACATATGTGTTCCACTGTTACTGAAAAGTTATTATGCAGCACATGACTGTATATACATATATATTTGTGCGTATATATATATATATAAAAACACACATATATACATTTTAAGGTATTTGTGTTATGTTTTCACAATTTGCATTTAATATATACTATTTGGTATAATATGATTTGATATAGCAATACTATAATAGTAATGTGAAATATTTGGAAGATTTAGGATGAAATGAGAAAAGATTTGACCTTATACAAAAATTTTAAAATTAGCCTGGAAAAAATAATAAAATTGAGAAAGACAACAAACTGTGGTGTTCAAGGCAGTTGTTAAATTTGTCAATTGTGTTAGCTTAAAAAGTGATTTAAACTCTTGAGTCTAAATAATCTTTAGATTCGAGAATATAAAATTGTCTCACATGCTTCTGTGATTAAATTCATAAGAAAGTTCTGGCAGATAGGAGATGCTCAATAAGTAGTGGCTTCTTTCCTCAGCAATTTTTCAAAATTGATGCAAGGCTTTGCTCATTCTTTTTAATCTAGGAAGAGAATAAAATCCAGAGGAAAGGAACAAGAGTTTCTATGTTTGGGAAATATAAATCGAAATCTCAGTCTGTGCTTAGGATTTAACGTGAATGATTTAGATGGTTAAAACTGAGTGTCAACTTGATTGGATTGAAGGATACACAGTATTGATCCTGGGTGTGTCTGTGAGGTTGTTGCCAAGGGAGATTAACATTTGAGTGAGTGGGCTGGGAAAGGCAGATCCACCCTTTATCTGGGTTAATCTGGGTGGGCACAATCCAATCAACTGCCAGCTAAGCTAGAATATAAACAGGCAGAAAAATGTGAAAGGGAGACTGGCATAGTCTCCCAGCCTACATCTTTCTATCGTGCTCCCAGCCCTTGAATATCAGACTCCATGTTCTTCAGTTTTGGAACTCAGACTGACTCTCCTTGCTCCTCAGCATCCAGATGGCCTATTGTGGGACTTCGTGATTATTTGAGTTAATACTTAATAAACTCTCATATGTATATGTGTATATATATATGTGGATGTGTATATATATACACACACACACGTATATGTATACATATATATATTCCATTAGTTCTGTCCCTCTAGAGAACGTTGACTAATACAATGATCTTTTCATGTCTAATTTCTATTCTGCAAAATGCATTTCAAGTTTTCTGTTATATAAAAATGCAATGATGGTCGATGGGGAAATATATATCACTCATCCAAAATATTATTTGACATATAATTGGCAATAACCATATATATTATATATACATATATATACACACATATACAGCTTTTGCTTTCTAATGAACACTACACTAAGTACTTTAAATGCATCATCTAGTTTACTACTCAATAATTTAATCATTATTACCTTTATCAGTTTCTCAAATTTTAAAAAAATATTCAAGCAAGTTCAATAGAACTTTCTTCAGTAATAGAAGTTTGGTGGTTTTTTTTTTAATCTTCTGATACGGTAGCTACTAGTTATATGTGGAATATAAAATATGACTAGTACAACCAAAAATTTGTTTTTAAATCTAATTTTATTTAATTTGAAACTAACTTTAAATAGCTTCCTGTGGCTGATACATATTGGACAACATGAACATAATCTATATAGATATAACACTAAGTTTATAAATAAAAATTAAATTTAACTTGGAGCTGACAGGATCTCACTCTGTTACCCAGGCTGGAGTGCAGTGGCATGATCACAGCTCACTGCAGTATTGATCTCCCAGGCTGAAGTGATCCTCCTTCCTCAGCCTCCCAAGTAGCTGGGATGACAGGTGCACATTACAGGACCTGGCTTTTTTAATTATTATTACTTATTTTGTAGAATTGGGCTCTCACTATGTTGCCTAGGCTGATCTTGAACTCCTGGGCTCAAGCAATCCTCCTGCTTCAGCCTCCCAAAGTGCTAGGACTACAGGCATAAGTCACCATGCCTGGCCTTGGAGTTATTTTCTAAGATGAGAAATACTTAAAGTTTGTACCGTACAATTCACCACCTCATCTTACATTATTCTGTTCAATATTTTTTAGTGTATGTTAGAGTTATCTCCCCAGATTGTGTGGTGAATTCCTTGAGAGTAATAGCTATGCTTTTTATTTTTTCTTTTTTTCCTGCTACATGCCTATGCCAGAAAGCCTTTGCACAATCCTGCCCAGTTAGGCTGAAGGCGCTTCCTTGTCCATTTGCCATATGACAATGTTTCCCTCATCCGTGAACATCTGGATTGGTAAAACTACCATGGCTTAGGCTATTGATTCGCAAGAGGTAATTTATAACAAAGGAGATCAATTGTGTGATTTTTTTTTATATAATGACATAAAAATATTAACAGAATTTTTACCTTTTTTGTTTACTTTGTAACACTTTTTTCAAGAAATATATATATATATATATATAAACAAAAACCCTGACGCTCAGTGGCCCAAATAAGAAAAACAATTAAAAAGTTAAAACTGGGTGGCATCACTGTTCAGCGTCTCATGTTTGAAGGAGCATGATATCCTAGGAAAGAGAAAATTGAGGAAAAAAATATTGGTCCAGAGAGCTTGTCTGGGATCAGGTCCCTTTTTTGTTTATCGAAGTTGGGAAAGGTATCAAATATCTTTGATTCCATTAAAGAAGAGTGAATTTATGAACAGAGCAAATAAAATACAATAGGAACTATATCTTGTATAGCAGGTCACGATTATAATGGTGTTTTGCTACAGAGCCATTCTAATTGATGCCTTCCTCTTAAGACATTACTCACTGTCCACTCATAGTTTTAAAATAACCCACTAGCTTAGGGGAGAGAAATGTCTAGCCAAGAAAAGTACTTATCCCTTCATCTTAGACCAAAATTTACCTAAGATATTTTAACTTTTACTTAATGTTTAGAAAAGCTTACAGAAAAATAAATTTTTAGAATGGGAAGATGGTAGGAATTATTCAGTCCAAACTCTCTTCTATTATACAGAATAAACTATGATCCAGAAAATACAGACTTGTTTAATGTAAACAAAATGCTTAGCATCAGAGTCAGAATAATACTTTTTTTCTTTGTCTGATGTTCTAAGTAATAGTGAATATTAAGATTACACTTGAGGCCGGGTGCAGTGGCTCACACCTGTAATCCCAGCACTTTGGGAGGCCGAGGAGGGCGGATCACAAGGTCAGGAGATCGAGACCATCCCGGCTAACACAGTGAAACCCCATCTCTACAAAAAATACAAAAAAATTAGCTGGGCGTGGTGGCGGGCGCCTGTAGTCCCAGCTACTCGAGAGGCTGAGGCGGGAGAATGACGTGAACCTGGGAGGCGGAGCTTGCAGTGAGCCGAGATCGCACCACTGCACTCCAGCCTGGGCATCAGAGTGAGACTCCGTCTCAAAAAAAAAAAAAAAAAAAAAAAAAAAAAAAAAAAATTACACTTGAAACAATACTAAATATCTGAAGAGTATAGAACTTTTAAAACACTCATACAATAAATAAGCAAGATGTATTGGATAAACAGAAAGTGATTGCTGCAAGTTATTTGAAAAACCTATCAACTTTATTCTCATTCAAGATGGCTATGTGTTCTAAATATAGAACATTGCAATCCTCTGACCTTAAAGTTATTATAAGACACGGTATGTGTCACTATGGAAGTGTTTAGTCAAGCATATAAAACTCTTAGAAAATCCAACTTAATTTTACCAGCAAATTATTAGGCCTACTAAAATAGGTTTTTACTTTTTTCAAGAGCAATCAAGTCAAACAGCATATATCAAACTTTGATCAACACACTTTTTTCATCTACAATACTGCCAATAGGTAGAAAAATGGAGACTGACTTCTCTACCATTCTGAAAGCTTCTTGCCTCTGCTCTCCACACTGTGTTATTAGGTATCACAGAAACACATAAAAACCATGCTAATAGGTGTCATGGAGACACAGAGTAAAAAGTATATCGATTGCTCAAATGACACTTCACAGCTGCTTAAAGAGGCTTTAAGGCCTCCCAGGCTATGCAGGTGAAACAACTCATTTTGCCAAGCAGTTTCCTTTTAGGGTCCTCAGCCTTGTGTGACCATCTAATCTGATTTTATCTTCAGCAGAAGTTATTGATTCAAATCAGACAAACCTTCATATATGGAACATGGGCCAGGGAACACCTGCATCTGGCTAGATAGCACATTTAAATTTCATTCTTGGCAGCTAGAATCCAGGATTTTTTAATATGATTTTTATAAATTTATAAGGTGTGACCACACATAATATTTTGTATTATGGAAAAAAATCTGGAAAACAGCCATGTTTTTAAAGCCCATAGGGACATGGTGCTGTGACATTTATAACTCTCATTTAGATATAAATAATCAACTATCTATTTAATAATGTAAATAGAATAATTTTAAAAAACTAAAAGTTCCTTTTTGTTTTGTTTTCATAATTTCTACCAATTATGGTTGTTACTCTAGGGAGAGTCCGCAGAGCTCCTGCTACCACCATTCCAAAAATACCGTCTTTCTCTATCAATACTGTATACCAAAATGTAATTGGTATACATTTATTTCTTAACATGTTTCAAGCTGAATTTATTCTATGCTCTAATTTAGGGTCACCCTTTTACCTTGTGCTCTTTCTTTAATATCATTACTTGATAAAATATTATTTATTTTCTAGATGAAGTTTAAGCATTGTTTTCTTTAAGGAAGGTTCTTGATTTCTCAACTTGGTCTGTTCTTAATATCTTAATCCATGAGCCTTTTATTTCAAATATGTCCAGTCACTTACCTTTGCCTTAGTTTGGAGTTGTTCTTTTTTATTCTTTTCCCTGCCTTTGATTTTAAGTTCCTCCAGGAAATAAATTATATTTTATCTATCTTTGTATTTCTTATCTTTTTTTTCACATTTTAGCATCTATAACAAGTAACATGTAAATAGTTGTCAATACATACTTGGTTGTAGAAATAAATTAATGAATGAACAAAATGAAAATAGTTCACAATATGAAATATATCATAAAACCACACAGATCAAACTGCATCTCACAAGGTTCCATAACATATTATTTTAGACTTCTTTTGTCCTAATGTCAGCTTAGCAACATTCCATATTCATTAAAAAAGTGAGTTGAGAGAAAAATATTACTACTATAATGTATTTAGCTCAGCCTTAATGTACGAGGGGATTATTAAGCTATTAGGAAAACATAAAATGTAAAATTTGTATTTAATAATTCAAGTGAAAATCAATCAAGAAGCTTAATAAGATTTGTCAGAAAAAGATATTAAATGGTACAACAGTGCTAAATGTTTTTAAGTGAGGTCTGCAAACACATATTTTAAGTTATATTAGAATATTTTGAATTTGTCACTGAATATTTCCCTCAGTTTTATTTATCATCTTGGAAATCACTCAAAACTTTAATCTCACAAAGGGAAGGAGAAGGCAGACAAGGAGGAAGAGAGGAAAAGACTAACTTTTTTATTAAGTCTGATATTATGAAAAAGACTAACTGAGATATTGTGATTTCAGATTCAGACCACCACAATAAAACAAATATCACAATTGGGTCACAGAATTTTTTTGATTTCAAATTACATATAAAAGTTATGTTGGCCAGGCACAGTGGCTCAGGTCTGTAATCCCAGCACTTTGGGGGCGCCGAGGCAGGCAGATCACGAAGTCAGGTGATCACGACCATCCTGGTTAACATGGTGAAACCCCGTCTCTACTAAAAATACAAAAAATTAGCTAGGCGTGGTGGCGAGCACCTGTAGTCCCAGCTACTTGGGAGGCTGAGGCAGGAGAATGGCATGAACCCAGGAGGCAGAGCTAGCAGTGAGCCGAGATCCTGCCACTGCACTCCAGCCTGGGCGACAGAGTGAGAATCCATCTCAAAAAAAAAAAAAAGTTATGTTTACATTAACTTTATAATAACTGTGCAATAGCAGTATGTCTTAAAAAATATATACCTTAATTAAAATGCATTTTATTATTGAAAACACTAATAATCCTCTGGCCCTTAGGCCAAACATAATATTTCTGCTGGTGGAGGATCTTGCCTCGATGTTGATGGCTGCTGGCTAATCACCATGTTGGTTGCTGAAGGCTGGAGTGGCTGTGAGAATTTCTTAAAATAAGACAGTGAGGTTGCCACATCAACTGACTTTTTCTTTCATGAAAGATTTTTCTGTAGCATATCATGCTGTTTGATAGAATTTACCCACAGAACTTAACTCAAAGTTGGAGTAAATTCTCTCAAACTCTGCCACTGTTTTATTAACAAAGTTTATGCACTATTCTAAATCATTTGCTGTGATTTTAACAAGGTTTGTAGTGTCTTAACCAGTAGTAAATTCCACTCATGAGATCATTTTATTTGGTCATCCACAAAAAGCAACTCTATCCATTAAAGTTTTATCACAAGATTTTAGGAATTCAGTCACATCTTCCAGTTCTTTTGCTCTTCCCACCACATCTATAGTTATTAACATATCCTCTACTGAAGTTTTGAACACCAAAGTCAACTCTGAGGGTTGGAACCAACTTCTTCCAAATTACTGTTAATGTTAATATTTTGTCCTTCTCCCATGAATCATGAATGCTCCTAATGGCTTCTATAATGGTGAATCTTTTTCTGTAGGTTTTCAATTTACTCTTCCCAGATCCATCAGAAGAATCACTCTCTATGGCAGGGATAACCTGAATAAAGGGCATTTCTTGAATAATAGGAGTTGAAAATCAAAATTATGGCTTAATACATGGACTGAAGGATTGGTGTTGTGTTAGAAAGCATGAAATCATATATGTATCTTCTTATACATCCCCACCAGAGCTCTTGGATGACCAGATGCAGTGTTGGTTAGCAGTAATATTTTGGAAGAAATCTTTTTTCTGAGCAGTAGGTCTTGACATTGGATTTAATACATGTGCTGTCTTTCAGGTTTTGTTAATCCATTTCTAGAGCACAGGGTAGATTTAACATGATTCTTAAGGGCCCTAAGATTTTCAGAATGGTAAATGAATATTGGTTTCAACTTAAAGTCAACAGCTGTAGTAACCTGTAAGAAAAGAGTCAACCTGTCCCTGGAAACTTTGAAGACATACACTGACTTTTCCTCTCTAGCTATGAAAGTCCTCAATGACATCTTCTTCCACTATAAGGCTGTTACATTCACATTGAAAATTTGTGGATAAGTGTATCCACCTTCATTAATTATCTTAGGTATGTTTTCTGAATAACTTGATACAGCTTCTACATCAGCATTTGCTGCTTCACCTGCACTTTTTTGTTATAGAGATGATTTCCTTAAACTCATGAACCAACCTCTCCTAGCTTCCAACTTTTCTTCTGCAGTTCCCACACCTCTCTAAATTTTCATAGATTTTAAGAGAGTTAGGGTTTTGCTCTGGTTTACGACTTGGCTTAAGAATTTAACACTAAAACTTTCTTCATATCAGCAATAAGGTTATTTCACTTTGTTATCATTTGTGTGTTCACTGGAGTAGCACTTTTAATTTCCCTCATGAGCTTTCCCTTTTCATTTACAACATGGATAACTGTTTGGTGCAGGAGGCCTACCTTTTGGTCTGTCTTGGCTTTCAACATGCCTTCCTCACTAAGCTTAATCATTTCTAGCTTTTGAATTAAAGTGAGAGACATGAGACTCTGCCTTTCACTTTAACGCTTAGAGGCCATTGTAGGGTTATTAATTGGTTTAATTTCAATGCTGTTGTGACTCCGGGAATACAGATGTCTGAGAAGAGTGAGAGAGATGGGGAGAACATCTGATCAGTGGAGCAGTCAGAACACATGTAACATTTATCGATTATTTTTCCTGTCTTATATGGGCATAGTTTGTGGCTTTCCAAAACAATTACAATAGTAACATCAAAGATCACTGATCGAAGATCATCATAGCAGATATAATAAAAACTTTTGAAACATTCCAAGAATTACTAAAATGTTATACAGAGATACACAGTGAACATATACAGTTGAAAAAAATGATGCCAATAGACTTGCTTGACACAAGTTTGTCACAAATCTTCAATTTGTGAAAAAAACAATATCTTCATAGGGCAATAAAATGAGGTATGTCTGCATTCCCTACAATCAAATGGAGCAGAGAAAAATAAGCATTCTTTGTGCAGTTGTAATATCACATATAAATTAAACTATTCATAAATTTTAATGTTGTATCAGCAATATGAATGGGATACATGCTACCTGTTTGTGAGGGTGGTGTCATAGAAATTCAAGTAAGAAAAAGAAACAATAGTGTAAGGAATAATTCTATAGCCACTATTTATTTACACCATTCGTCGTTTTCTATATGTATTATCTAAGGCTCTCTTCACACAAAAATAGCAGAGTTGTGTAGCTGTGACTAAGATTTTACGGTCTACAAAGCCAAAAACATATACTACTTGACCTTTACAGAAAAAAAAAATTGATGACCCCATCACAGAACATGTGCTCAGTGAGTCAGATAAGTAGTGCTTTATGAGGACTCTTCACAGCATCAAACCAAGAGAGAACCCAAGAGAAGGTCTGAGAAAGGGCTCTGTGCTCATATGCTGTATATTCTGTTTGATGATAAAAAATATGCATGTTGCTTACTTCAGGAAGTAATAACATGTATCTTAGATTAGGATATCTAAAAGCAGAGGCTGAGACAGAGATTTGGGAAGTAGTTATATACTGAAGGATAGCTTTTAATAAAAAAAAATATAGTCTGAAGTGAGTGAAAGGAAAAGGGAAGGGTCAAGCAAGACTATTAATCCTGGTAAAGTATACCCTGGGCTGAGTCCACATTGGAGGATGAGGCCTCTGAAATAGAAATCTTACTGTTGTGTTTTGCCCCTTTGAGGGAAAGTTGCCCCTGTATCAATAGTTCATGAATGGACACTGCCTCAGTATGAGCAGGTGTGTACATAACATTCCAACAAAGTTGGCTTCTGCTAGCTGGAGCAATTATCTAGGAACTGGGGTAGCTGTGAGCCATTAGCAGGCAGCACTTACAATAGCTGGGGGATAAGCACGTCATCCTGCTAACAGGAGATCCAGTGGAGAACAAACAGCACCTACAACAGAATCTTACTCAAATAACAGTCAACTAAATGTCTACTGGATTTCAGTCTTGATTACTACCAAATGATGCATCCAGAATGATCTTTCCAAAGTGCAAACCTCAGCAGCTATTTGCTTAGAAACCTTTGAGAGTCCTCTTAGGATATCTGTTGAGTCACCCATGGGCTGGCCTTTCTAGATACTCATTACTTATTCATGGACCCAGCAGCATTTTCTATGAACAAACCCTAATCTTACTTCCTTTACTAGTACAGTATAAAAATATTTGAATTTCCCTAATTCCTTAGAACTTCCTTATTCCTTAGAACTCTGCCCATGCTGAAACCTGTGTCTTACGTCAATATGTTGACATATACATTGAAGAATTCAGTGCCCCTCCTATCCTCAAGTGACCACTTCAATACAGGAACTGCTGAGACTTAAATATTAAATTCCTAGTGGCTTTATTCAAAGGGAATACGGTAGATTGGGGCAAAAAAAGATAAATGCTCTGCAGCTCCAGTTATCAAGAGGTCAAGTTTACGTTAAAATCTCTTGAAAGGTGGCAAGGCTTATGACTTGCTTAGGCCAGTGGAACAGTAGAAAACCTGATGCAAGTGGATATTTAAAGTGCTGGCACAATGAGGCTTTGGAACTCTAGGGCTACCATGGGAATGAGTTTAGGCAAGGCTAATGTAGGATAAAAGAACACATAGAGAGAAGAGCAAGTTGGTCCCAGATGTCCCACCCATCATAACCAACCAGTCACAGCTGGCCCACCATTTAACTGCAGATGCATGAGGATGAGATAATCCATGTCTGGTTCAAATCAGAACTGCCTAGTAAATCCAGCCCAAATTATCTACCTACAGAATCATAAAGTCAAATTTTTAGCCACTAAATTTTTTTGGCAGTTACTCCTATAGAGAGAGTTGTCCAATAGAAGATACTCCACTCCTTTATCAGGCTCTATCAAGTATAACTAAAATATTGAGAAGCCCTTAAAACTGGAGAGAAAAACAAGTTAAAGTGAAAAATTAGGAAAAAATATTCTTAGAGACTAAATGAGTGAGTTACATTATTCCTCTGAGAAGGTTTATACCCAAAAGATTATAAATCATTCTACTATAAAGATGCATGCACATGTATGTTTATTGCAGCACTATTCCCAATAGCAAAGACTTGGAACCAACCCAAATGTTCATCAATAATAGACTGGGTTAAGAAAATGTGGCACATATACACTGTGGAATACTATGCAGCCATAAAAAAGGATGAGTTCATGTCCTTTGCAGGGACATGGATGAAGCTGGAAATCATCATTCTCAGCAAACTACCACAAGAACAGAAAACCAAACACCGCATGTTGTCACTCATAAGAGGGAGTTGAACAATGAGAACACATGGACATAGGGAGGGGACTATCGCACACTGGGGCCTGTCAAGGGGTTGGGGGACTAGGGGAGGGATAACTTTAGGAGAAATACCTAATGTAGGTGATGGGTTGATGGGTGCAGCAAACCACCATGGCACGTGTATACCTATGTAACAAAACTGCACATTCTGCACATGTACCCCAGAACTTAAAGTATAATAATAAAAGAGATAATGCAAGAATATTGACTCCAAAATGTGTACATCTGTTTTCAGATAACCTATTTTCAACATTGTCCCCATTGTGTTCCATTCCTAAATTCTATTATCATTCACTCAATCAAATCTGTGGACTGAAATTCCATCACTCTCATTAATTCCATTGGGTCCTCGCAAACAGTATGTTAAAGAATCACACCAAATGTCAGAGCTCTTCCAAAAGAGTTGAGTTTTTTTGTTCCAATGAATACGGTTCATATGAGAAATATGGTTCACATGAGACAAAAATAATTTAAGAATAGAAGCCTTCTAAGCTCTATGCAACTGTTTATAAGAAACATTTGCAGGTAATCATCATTATTGCCACATAATAGGCATTGGGTGTTTATCATATAAATTAGTTTATCATCACCAGATAAATGAAGTTACTTTATTGCCTCTATAATTAAGTAGAAAGATGGCAGGATGAGAAAGTAACTCTTGCTTCTTTGGTTTGCAAAATTCGAAATGTTGAACTTGATCAATTTGCTTGCAATGACCAAAAACTTTAGTTGCAATAACATTCATAAAACCTATCCCTGCCAATGCTACAGTAATGCAAGCATAATATTTCTTTTATCTTGTTTACACTTGGAAGGTAAAAGAGATAAAAATTGTCAGAAAATCTCAGCAGTTCAAATAAATTTATGTCTTCTTAAACATCTTTTCCTACAACATAACAAAAGCACAGGGAATCATGCTGTATTTTATTGACATTGTAAATAGTGATTTTTAAAGATTTCTGGCTTCATGATTTCCTCTTTCCTGTTGCTTTCCACAAGTTTCAGGAATAAAGTAAGAATATATACAGTCAAATATTTATTCCTTCCACACCCTGGACCATACAATATGTCTTCAATGTTATCCTACAAAACACTGTGTTAGACTGTGAACAGAGATGACAGCCTAAAACGAAACAAACAACCCCCACCCCCCAAAAAACAAATATACCTAAAGCAAGGATTTATAAAGTCATTGCAAAAAGAGTCCAAAATTGCCATTATTGGATAATATGGGAGTCTGGTGCATGGATTTTAAAGCAATATACAGACATTCACTACATCTGTCTTCAAATGTGCATAGTTTTTCTTTAGTTGTGACAGCAGTCACTTGATATTGATGAACTCTGAATGATGCCCAAATACAGAAAGATGCTCTTAAATGTGGCCAACTGAAGACAAAGTATCATGGTCACTATGGTGCTTATTATAATATTTGCTTTACCTATATATTTTAGTACAAACAGAAAATATCAGAACATGAAATGTTTTCTATGCCATGCTAGAATTTAAGTTTCACATATGTACAAACTGTTGTTTAGCTCACCAATGTATTTAGCTCACCAATATATCCCAAGGATATAGCCTGACATGTAACAGGTGTTAAATTAGTGACTGGATGAATATATGATGAGATAGATTCTGGTTATTTTCTGTACTGCTGAAGTGTTAGGGGTTCTTTTCTCCTTGAGTTCTTCAAATTATTTGCTGTTCTGTATATTTTGTCATAAACATAACAGAGGTCAGCTTAAAATATCTATTGAGATGTATTTTATAGGTATTAAGAGGAGCAGGACAAATACTTGAGGAAACTTTGCAGCACAGGACGGGAGTCTGAACAGCTATCAGAGTATAATTTTAGGTAGAATGCAAATCAGTAATGCTGTGGTCGGGGCCTGCTCTTGCTTTTAGGTTTTCCTGTAATGCTAATCATTCACATTCAGAGTCCTCTTCAAGAAGAGTGAATTCTCTGTGTCAATTTTAGACAACCAGAGAGGCTTAAAAGAAAAATGATTGACTCTTTATCCTTTCTTTATTCCAAGAATGCATTGTTCCTTTTATTTTACTGTCCATTATCCTTAACATATTCAGCATTAGAATTTCAGTTACGAATCTCCAGTGTGTATTTTAAAAATTCAAATAACTGATACTTTGATCAAATCTTCAACTTGTATATCAGAGCATTAAGGATGTTAGCTGAAGTCTGTTCTCTCTCTAACCTCATACAATACACACACAGATGCACACACACACACATATAAATATATATAAATGTAAAAAATCTCATATATAAATATATAAAATAGGTGTGTGTATATACATAAATATATAAAATGTGTGTATATGTAAATATATAAAACGTGTGTATATATATAAATATATAAAATGTGTGTCTGTGTGCTTAACACTTTAGGAAAAAACATAATGCTCTCTTTTCAAAAGGAGACTCAGATTTTTAAATACAAATTCCATTCCTTTGAAGAAGGGTCAATTGTATTTCCTATTTAAAATTTAAAGTGAAATCACCTATTAAGAAGAAAAATACTTTTTCTTCAAATAAAATACAGTTCTTACTAAAATATTCTTGATGAAATCTAAATGAATAAAACTGTAAATGAACCAATTACCTTGTTCTTTTATTAAAGATTAGTAGACGTCCCAGGGAGCATTAAGCTTAAATTTGAACAAATTATTGAAACTTGACCAGCAATTTGAATGGAAACTGTATGTGTGGAAAATTATACAATGTAAAAAGCTAGTATTTTTTGTACTTTTTGGGAAACTATGTGGCAGTTTTTATTACATATATTTTTGCATTATTACCCTGCAACAAGTCAGAGGGATATAATGCTTCATGGAGGGTGATGACACTGTGAGACAGCAGTCATAAATAACAGAAGTGAAAGCACACTTTCGACTTTTGAATAAAATGTCTTTCCACTGATTCTGAGTAAGCATCAAAGCTCTGCTTTGAGAAATCCTATCTTTGAACTACTCTATATGGAGTAGAGTAAATATGGCCTTATCTGGGTTCAGTTTTCAAATAAAAGTCAAAATAAAAATGAAATCATCCATGCATTTCTAAATCAAGTTATGTAATATTGTCCCCTCACCTTTCTTCCTTTGCATCAATGTACCATGAATTGAAGGTTATTTTTGTTGTCATAAAGTCATATTTATGAAATGCAAAATACCAAAGAAGGAACTCCATAAGGTGGGCTAAAGCTTATTTTAAAAACACAGCAAATAAAAATAAACACCAAAACTTTATATTTTAATTTTCTTTGTCAAAAATTCAGACATGCTAAAATAGTACTTTAACATTCTCTAATTGTTTTTATATAGACTTTTTGATAATTACTTATCTGTGGAAAGTTTTAGAAGGAACCATAGTTTCACAATTGTATGGATAATTTTGTTCACACTGCTAATCCTTCTCCATTAATTATTGTTGTATATTTCAATTTTTGCTATTTCTTGAAGCTAGAGTTTTCAAACTCCTCTCATGCATATGAAAACCTACTTAATTTGAGATCAGTGTATACGACTACTTATTAAGTATCTACAACTTGGATTCCTTAAAGGAACCCAAAACCCAACTACATATCTGGGCTCATTATCTTTTCAATCAAACCAATCTTTGTTCTGTCATCTATTCAGATATTAAAGCCAAAATTTAAAAAGTTGCAGGCAATCCTTGCCAAATTCTCTTTCCTTGATAGCCCCATATTTAGTCTCATAACAAGTCCTGCCAATATTACCAATGTATTTAAGAACTTCTCTCCATCTCCATTCTTACTACTTATATCCAAACTATCATCCCATTTTTTTTCTGTATTGATGCAACATCCTCCTACATTCCTACATTTGTTTTTACCCTTTTCAGCTTCTTTTATATATTACAGCTGGAGTTATATTTCCAAAATGACAACCCGAACATGTCCCCTCAGTGTATAAAAACGTTAAACTGATCTCAATGCTATTAGCATAACACCCCCAAATTTTTACATACAAGGTTTTGCACAATATGGTAACTGACAAATTATGTCTCCTTGTTATAGGTTACTATAATGCTCCAATTTTTCTTCTTAAAATATATGGACATTTACACATACATACCTATGTTTTTATTTGTCTCTCATCTCTTACACTTAAGATTATGAGGACAGAGAGTTTGCAGTTCTGACCCTAGCCTGCTTTCTCCAGCTTCTAGTCCAATTGGTTCTGAACGAATAAATGAATTTCAAAAACACAGAGGAGAAAATTACCAGGCTATGCATAAAGGAAAAAGTAAAAATAAGATAGCAATGGTTAATTTTGACAGCCTTAACTAAGAAAATGAATAAAATAATTTGACAACTGAACAAAAGTAACTTGGCAATGAGAAATTCATTTATTCATTTACCCTTGAACTCAAAATAAATTTCCTGAGAGTAGATAGTGTTTTGGAAACTCAGTTGCCAAAAAACAACTCATTCAATAGAGTAGCATATAAACTTATAAATATATCATTGAATTGAAGTGAGAGATGTTTTAATGGAGAAATTCAGAAGAAACATTGAAAGCATAAATGAGAATAAGGGAATCCTACATAGGATTTGAGAAATGTTTAAGAATTTGACCATATAAATTTTTCTAGTTAATACTGTATAAAAAAATCCTGAATGTTTGGTATAGGAAATAAATATTTATAAGTAGAGAAATGATTCAATAAAGTATGCTCTGGTCATAGTAAGAAATACTCTGGAACCATTATACACAGCAAGGTAGATGGGTAGTACTGACCTGGAAATATATCAATGGCATTTTGCTTAACAAAAAAGAGAAAGTTGCAAAATAAAATATATGAGCATATGTGTGCAGAAATCGTGTGAATGCAATTTAAATGGTCTAAAAGGTAAACATTACATGGCAAATGAGATGTCTGAAGGGAACTTTCTAATTATTGCATGCTATATATTATTTTCTTGTTTGTGTTTCAGTATATGCATTGTTTTTGCTTTTGTATTTGCGAAATAATTGTTCTAAAAATAAGTTAAAGGTGCTCACCTATTGGGTTGGATATAAAGGGAAGAGTTCATCATTTGTAGATTTGACTTTTGCCCACATTTGTTCTGTACTGTCCTATGGCTGTTTAGTTATCTCTTTATGTGCCCAGTGGGATAGAAAACAAAAACAAAAACAAAAACTGCTTGCAGTTTCAGAAAGACCATGATACTGAATAACACGTTGTTTGAACTTTATAGGAATGAGACCATTAAATAATTTTTTTCAATAAAGTAATAGTTACTTGAACCATAATAGAGTAGCCTATAGGTCATTAAAAGGCAATGTAAACATTTTTTGTAATACATTTTTATCCCCGAAGTTGAAATATATATTTAAATGTTAAAACTGAAGACTGAATGTTACGAAATTAATTAATATAAAGTTTGGTTTATATTTAGAGAGTAAAAGATTTTTACCAGAGGACAAATACAGACTCGCGGAGGAAGTGGCACTGTCAGTTCGCGGAGGAAGTGGCACTGTCAGTCCGCGGCACTCGTGGGCTCCTCAACATGGAGCTACAGGAGGCCTTGAGAAGCAGCAGCAGGAACGAGGCTCGCCAGCCAACCACAACACCAAAAGCAAAGCCCGAAAGAAGCTCCCCCTGACCATGGCTGACTCGAGGCGGCCGTGCACCCTGATGGGCATTTATCCCCATGAACCCAAACACGAGAAGAAGGTTAATAAAGGTGCTACTGCGGCCCAAACTTCTTACCTCATGGAAGATATCAGGTTTCTCATCCAAGAATTCATCGTCAACAAGGTCCGAGAATGCAAGGTGTCTGTCCGGAAGCCCCGGGAGGCCTATGAGAAGAGCGAGCGGAACACCGTGGAACATCTAAAGGACAATAAGGCCGACTACAAACATGACCACATCATCAAGGAATGGTACCCCACATTCATCGACGCCCGGGGGGACCTGGGCGGCTCCGCCTTCTCCACGTGCTTCCTCTTTTCCACCTTCCCCCGGACTGACAAGTGCCATGTGCAGATCGTTCCGCTGTGCTGCAGGCTCGCAGCGGAGTTCACGTATTACATCATCGCTGCCTGTGCCCCGAGCAAGGTCTTCCTGTCCATCAAACGCATTTACTACCAGGCTGAGGTGCTGGCACAGCCCATCGTGTGGATCACCCCCTGTGCTTTCTCCCACGACCACCGGACAGACGTGGACTACAGAGTCATGGCCACCTTCACCTAATTCTACAGCACCCTACTGGGCTTCATTGATGAACTTCAGCCTCTGCCAGTCGCTCAACGTTCACTATCCCCTCAAGCTGAGGGTCAGGCCCAAGCAGAGGGGAAAGCCAGTGAGGGCACCTACGCGCTGGACTCAGAGAGCCCAGTGGAGAAACTGGAGGCCCTCAGTGCCAGCCTGGCCCGCGCGGTGGTGCCTATCACAGAGGAAGAGGCCGAGGTGGATGAGTTTCCCGCCAATGGGGAGTTGGCGGTGCAGGAGGAGGACCACAGGAAGGAGCTGGAGGCGCAGGAGAAGCACAAGAAGCTTTTTGAGGGCTTGAAGTTCTTCGTTAACTGACAGGTGTCCCCTGAAGCCCTAGCCTTCGTCATCAGGAGTTTTGCGGGGGGGGACATATCCTGGGAAAAGCCTTTGTGCATGGGTCCCACCTATGCAGCACCCACCAGATTGTCGACTGGCCTGGGCAGCAGACCTCAGTTATTGGCAGACACTACGTGGAGCCCCAGTGGTTGTTTGACTCCGTGAACGCTAGACTGCACTTCCCTGGAGCAGAGTACTTCCCTGCAATGCAGCTACCCCTACATTCTTCACCCTTTGTGACTGAGGAGGAAGGAGATTACATCCCATCTGAGAAGCTGAAGCTTCTGGCTCTGCAGCGGGGAGAGGACCCAGGAAACTTGAATGAGTCAGAAGAGGAGGAGGAGGAAGACAACCAAGGTGATGGTGATGAAGGGGGAGAAAATGAAGGGGAGAGTGGTTCGGAAACGGAGGAAAAGGCCTGGCTGGCAGCACCGGAGGAGCAGAGAACGGAGGGGAAGAAGCCCAGGGTGATAGCAGGACACGAGAAGCTGGAGAAGCAGCAGCAGCTGGCCCAGGAGGAGGAGAGCGAGGCCAGGCGCCTGGCCACTATGATGATGAAGAAGCCGGAGAAGTACCTGTACCAGAAGATCATGTTTGACAAAAGGCGAAAAAGCCAAGAGGCCAAAAAGCTACCAGAGTAGCAGAAAGCCCATGATGAGGCAGTGAGATCTGAGAAGGCCGAAAAATCAAGGCCGATTTGAGTGCCAGTGGCCCCTCAGAGGGCCGAGGCCAGCTCCCCAGCAGCCGGATGTGGCAGAGGCAGGCCAGAGCACCGAAGTGTGGTGACAGATCAGAGTCGCTTCTTTTCTCCTCTTCCTTCCTCCAGCCAGGCCTGGCCCCTCATGCTCCTTGGCTAGCCTGGCGGGGAGCTCTGGCTTCCTTTGGATGGAGCTCCCCTGCTGGTGCCTGGGTGGAGAAGAGGCCTCTGTGCCCAGCCTGATTCTGTGCTCCCAGAAGCCAGTGACACGAGGTGCAGGTGCCTGACCAGGCCCTCACATGCTGTCCCCATTCATCCTGGCTTTCCACGGCTCCCTCCCACACAGTGTGTCCCATGATTCTCAGGCTGTGATGGGTTAAGGGTGTGGGTAGCAATTGTTATTAAACGACTGGACTTTTGCAGCCAATTGTGAAGAAAAGGAATAGATTCACTAAAAGTAAGTCATTTAATGTATTCACCCAATTAATTTAATTAATTCATTTCCCTGTTATTGAAGTATAACAAACCTGTAGCATATTGTACCTTTTTAAAGAATAGAGTACAATAAAAGTTTAAAAAATCTAAGGACTTATATAACCATGATGGAGGTTAAGGTAAAAAAAAAATCTATATTAGATGAATAGGAAAAAATATTATGTGTGTGTGTATGTGAGTCCATTGGGTGCAATAGTAAGATAACTAAATTTTACCTTAGCCCCCAAATAGTTGATTTTCTATCTGTCAAACTCTGTAGCGAACTCAAAAAAGTTATTAAATATATTATTTAAATATGTTGGAAGAAATTGTCTGGACATACAAATTTGCATGGCGAATGGAGTAGCCATGTGAAATTTTTGGACTAAAATGTATGTATATACATTTGTTTAACAAATTTAAATTTTAAATTAAAATACAAGCAATGCATATTTGTAGTTTGTAATAAAAATACAAAAATATTAGGTATGGTGATGAAGTATATTTAAAATATTAAAAAATAGGAAATATTTAGTAAAAAACTAGCTTGTCTTGGCACATATACCCACCAAAACAATCATTTTTGAAATGCATAAATTACTAAGGTAATCCCAAAAGTGCATTTAGAATCTAAAGAATAAATTAGATAAAAATAAATACATTTAAAAAAATAAGCTTGTCTTTGAATTGACAGTGTTGTAAAGACCAAATGATTTTAAAAAATAAGACATTATGAATATTACAAGGATATAAGTTTGACATAATTATTAATTTTATGGCTATATCAAAACTATGCAAAAGCTATGCAAGTTATAAAAGTAAAACAAATATTTTCATAGGTACAAATAAAATAATCAAACCTGGACTAACCTAAATATTCTCAAAGCAAATATTTTAATTAGTTGTTCAGAACTATACAATTAGTTGTGTTGTTAATAATTTACTTAATTATGTAATTTATCATTGGAAAATGGTGAGTCATGCTGTCCATATGATGTTTTGGCCAGTGATTGACTGCATAGGTGACAATGGTCCTATAAGATTATAATGGAGCTGAAAAATCCCTCTTGCCTAGTGACGATATAATTGTCAGATTGCTGTAGCAGAAACTCATGTGCTTGTGGTGATACTGGTGTAAACAAACCTACTGCCCTGCCAGTCATATAAAAGTATAACACATACAATAAGGCACAGTACATAATACTTGATAATGAAAATAAATGGCTATGTTACTGGCTTATGGACTTACTATACTATGATTTTTATTGTTATTTTAGAGTATACTCCTATTTATTTAAAAAAATTAACTATAGAATAGCCTCAGACAAGTTTTTCAGGAGGTCTTTCAGAAGAAGGCATTGTTGTCATAGAAAACGATAGCTCCATGTATGTTGCTGCCCCTGAAGAACTTCCACTGAGAGAAGATGAGGAGAGGGAAGACAGTGACATTGATAACCCTGGCCCTATGTGGGCCTAGACTAATGTGAATGTGTGTTAATTTTTAACAGGAAAGTTTAAGAAGTAAACAAAAAAAAAATCAAAAAATAGGAAAATGTTTATAAAATAAGGAAATACAGGAAAAATAATTGTATAGCTGTACAACATATTTGCGTTTTAAGCTAAGCGTTGTTGTAAAAAAGGCAAAAAAAATTAAATACTTTATAAAGAAGTTACAGAAGCTAAGTTTAATTTATTATTAAACAAAGAAAATGTTTTTTGAATAAATTTAGTGTAGCCTCTGGTCAGGGTTTATAAATTCTACAGTAGTGGAAAGTAATGTCCTAGGTCTTCACATGCACTCACCACTCACTCACTGACTCACCCAGACAACTTCTAATACTACAGTTCTCATCCATTATAAGTGCCCTATACACATGTACCATTTTTTATCTTTTATATTGTATTTTTACTGTACCTCTTCTATGCTTAGATATGTTTAGATTCACAAATCCCATGCCATACAGGTTTGTAGCTGGGAGCAACAGGCCATACCACACAGCCTAGTTGTGTAGTAGGCTATATCATCTAGGTTTGTATAAGTGCACTCCATGATGTCTGCATAAGCAAGGACGTCATCCAAGGATTCATTCCTCCGAAATTATCTCTGTCATTAAGTTACCCATGAGTGTACTTGTATGTGAGTGCATGTGTATGGTGTGTGTGTGTGTGCATATATATATATGCATATGTATATATATATGCATATGTATATATATAATTACCATACACTGATAATGTAATTTCGAATTTCTAATAAGAAATCTATGAACTCTAATACTGCTTGCTTTCACCTTATCCTTTCATTTGTTTTTACCTTCAAGCTAATAACTGAATTTATTCTCCTTACTTTTTTTTCTTTGAAGATTAAAGGCATGCCTAGCTTTGTACTGCAGTTGCCTGGACAGTTGACAGCCTATTTAACTGAAGTCATACAAGCTGTACATTTTAACCCCTGGATTCCAAAGTGCAATCAAAATGACTTTTTTATATGTAAGAGCAGTGCACTTCTGAAATATTTGTAGATGGATACATAACAGTTTCATAAAACTCTCTTGGCCTTTTGCCTTTTAAAAAAACATTGAAGTCAACTAAGCTGATTAAAGAATTTTTAAGTTGGGAATTCTGGAGAGATTTTAGTGCATATAAAACATGTAATTCTGGTTTATTATTAACTCTAAATTAACTTTAAGAGTATATATATAGTAACTGAATAATCCTGTATTGACTATAGGATTGCCTAGTAATGGTTGAAAGCAATCACATCAAAGAGGTAACAAATTTTAAAAATAAGTAAATAAAAACCTGGAGATAATCTAGTCTAATCACATTATGTTATCATTACTGTTATCCTCGTTCCTAACTCGTGACATTTAATTATCTTTTTTATTATACATTAGAGAAAATAATGGCATAATTATATGCATAATTTAAGTATGCTTTATACCATATTTTACCTATTAGGGAAGGTATTTTTCTACTCCGTATCCCAAATTCTTCACAGAAACTTACAGGTCAAGCCCCTTAACATGTAAAAACAAAAATGCCCTAATGTTGTAGGACAAGAGGTTTGCTTCCTGGTGTCTCTGTCCTACTCCCTTTAGCAATGCTTTAGCTGGAAATCAAATCAGCAATAGAAAAAAGTCAAATGTGCATAATTCTGAGGTGTTCCTAAAGTAAGGATAGATTATTTTTTTTAGCATGGAGTTAGCTTTTATTCTCTAATTATCTTCACATATAGCAATTATAAACCAGTGAAGAACTAACAAATTAAACCTTTCCCAGAAGTATTCTGAAATTTGTATTTTTCCCAATCCATGATTCTCCCTAAAGTAAGGACAGATTTTTAAATGGAAACTTTTTTTTAACACCTCTTTAACAAGAAATCCCTATTTTAAAGATGGCCAAAGTGTACATCCTAAACAAGAGCTCGCGCAGATCACTGTGTATAACAGTGATGGATGCTGGTTGTTATATGGTCAGATTGCTTATTCAGATCTGAGCAAAACAGCAGTATATTCTACCTCTCCTCCACTTAGAGTCTCTAAAGTAAGAATAAATTGCATTGCCCTTGATGTGCATATTTTTCACTTAGAAGCAGCCTGCATCAATTCAAAAGTGTTAAGTTTTCATGTTTTGGCAATACATAGATAAAAATTTAAATAAATGGATAAAAGAAGCTGTTTGTTTTTTACTTAAATGGAGAAGTGCTAAGGAAACAAGTAAATTTGACATGAATAGCAACACTTGTAAACACATATTTAACAAGACTAAATTGTAATAGCATACTTTTCAAAGCAAGGGAAAACACAAATTATTTTTTAGTGCTCAAAGTAAATTGAGGACTTAAGAAAATGAGCTAAATATTATGCAGAGAATGATCAAAGCAGAACATATTTCTATTTTCATTTTTATTCATTTAATTAATCAAAGAGCAATGATATGAAACTATTGAACACTAACTGGAATTTAGTGTATGTTAATTGTCACATGTTATTCCTGGCTAAGAAATTTCATTCAGAGAGAAAATATGTTTTTCATTTTGAAAAGGCGGTCACATTTTTTGACTCTATCAATGTATTGACATTGATATGTAGTTTCACATCAATTCACTGTATTAAGCTCCATTTATAAATATTTTCTGAGTTGTTACTTTGTGCAAGTCATAATGTTCAGAAAATTAACTACTAAAATAGGTCTTCTCATTTACTTGCTTCTGTTACAAAATTAGGTAGCAATTGCAATTAATGTTAAGCATACTTGGCAGTCCACTTTTGTGTGCAAATTGCCACAAATCTTATTCTCCCTGCAGCTTCCTTAGATTATAAAATAACCTAGATTTTTTCAAAACAAATATAAAAATTTGCCATGATCACATTTTATCTATTAAAAGTAAAACTAGGTTTTAAAAATTGCATTGAATATCCCAAGATATTATTTTTTCCAAATTACACATGGGAGGATTTCAAACAGTTTCTTACCTTTTCGATGATTAACTAATATGTTACTAATTGATCATAATCATTTCTAGATATCTAACCAAGTGCCCCAGTTCAACAACTCATTATTTTACTCTTTCATTTTGATATTATTTGGTACAACTACATAACGCTGCTGAATGGAATATACTTATTAGCATGCAACTTTATGACTGTAATTTTGTTTCTGTTTTCTTGTGATAGTCGCAGAACTCTATGATTACATTAAAAATCACTAAATTGTACATTTTAAAAGTGAATTTTATGGTATGTGAATTTTATTTCAATAACATATTGAAAAATATGTTATTAAATAATATATAAATATATATTGTATATTGAATCTTTTTTCTATATATATTCATATCCACTTTATTATTTTGTTTCTTTAAACAAAATATCAGGTTTTCTACTTGTCTTTTAGATAAAATCCAAATTTTTCATTCTGTTATTTAATGCCCTTCCCCTTAAAACCAATGTAATCCCCAAATGTAAATTTTTTTACTGTCCAATATGGTCTTTTCATTTTTCTACAAGCATCACATGCTATTTCCCAACATCTTCCCGATTGAGGCATACTAGTTTTTTATGATAATCTCTTAATTATCAAAGCAGCAGGCACTTTTTTTTTAAAATTTATTAAATGACTCAAGTAGCAATGATCTGAAACTATTGTATGTCAAGTAGAATTTAGTGTATATTGCCACCTTATTTTATTTTTGGCTCTGAAATTTCATTCAGAGAGTTTTTTTTTTGGTTGAATAATTTTAAAAGGCAGTCAGTGTTTTGGCTTCATCATTACATTGATATTCATATGTAATTTTTTCCATTCATTCTATTAAGCTGAAATTATAAATATTTACCAAATATTTAAAGGTTATAGAAGCCTACAGTTATTTTGCTTTAATTTCATCTCAACCATAGATTTATCTGTGCCAATTTATTTTGATAAAGTATTATTTATCAAATATTGTTTAAAAGTTAAGAGAAATAAGTATAAATAATTAATTTTTTTCTTTTAAAAATTATTATTTAGTTGTTTGTGGATGGTAAGTAGTCTAGCTCCAGACCAAAAACTGTGTGTGTATGTGCGTGGATGTGTGTGTGCATGTGTGTATGTGTGTGTGCATGTGTTTTCAAGCCCCTCTATAGGCAGTTGCAAAAGCTTTACATGGCAGGCCTTCTCTAGGGAAAGCTGCTACCTGCCCACCAGACATGGTACACAGCCATTTAGTGCAGTCTCTGAAGAAAGTTGCAGTCAAGGATGCAGGCACTCCTGTACTCCTATGTCATACTTTTATGTGTATCTGTATTCCTAGCCCAGCTGCCTCTCCAGCTGCCTCCATTCAGAGGCTTCTTTACAGAGGGCTTAGACCAAGGTCTTGCTCAGGTTCCTTCCCTGAGACCCCCTTACTGGAAGAGTAGGGAGGTGGCGACATTTTTCTCCACTCAGTCTCAGTATGTTTCTCCTTGTAGCTCACCTCCCCTTCCTCTGCCCCGTCAAGGCCTATCAAATGGCAGGAGGAGAATGTTTTTCTGGGCTCCTTTATTAGTGAGACATTCTTTAGGTCTGCGCAGATCCTTCTGATCCTCATCTCCAGTCCATGTAGAGAAATGGAATGGTGATGGAGGAACTTTTTCTGTGTAGCCTCTTGCCCATAGTATGGCAGTGATTAAGGCTTCACTGTCCCTTCCATGCTGGCTTGGTGCTTTAATCAGCTACTCTAACACTTGGCAGCTCAACTCTCTCCAGCTCATCTCAGCTCTTGACACAGAGTATCGTTGTGTAATAGTTAATTTTATTTCCCAGCATATGAACAGTAATAATTGGTACTTACTTGATATGGTTTGACTGTTCCTCACCCACATCTCATCTGAAATTGTAATCTGAATTGTAATCCCCGCACGTCCAGACAGGGGCCTGGTGCACATGATTGGATCATGAGGGCAGTATCCCCATGTTGTTAGTGAGTGAGTTCTCACGAGATCTGGTTGTTTGATAAGTGTCTGGTGCTTCCCCCTTCTCTTTATCTCCTGATGCCATGTAAGATGTGCCTTGCTTCCCCTTTGCATTCCACCATGGTTGGAAGTTTCCTAAGGCCTCTCAAGCCATGCAGAACTGTGAGTCAATTAAACCTTTTTTGTTTATAAATTACCCATTCTCAGGTAGTATCTTTATAGAAGTGTGAGAATGAACTAATACATTACCAGATTCAAAATAAATAATTTCTGAAAGCATGGAGAGGTATTTGCTCTTGTTTAATACTTTTTAATTTGTCTGTGCTAAGCTTTCCCTAACTGTGTATTAGCTGGATTTGTACTATATTATTGGGGTGAACAATATTAAAAATTTTCTTTTCTACCATAATATAGGTCTATTTTCAGCTATAGTATTTTAATTTAATATGAGTTTTTAACCTACTTTTTAAAAGAGCACTCGTATCATTCTTTTTAAAAAAAATTTTGTTATACTTTAAGTTCTAGGGTACATGTGCACAACGTGCAGGTTTGTTACATAGGTATACATGTACCATGTTGGTTTGCTGCATTCATCAACTCGTCTTTTACATTAGGTATTTCTCCTAATGCTATCACTCACTTAGCCCCCTACCCCCTGACAGGCCCCAGTATGTGATGTTCCCCGCCATGTGTCCATGTGTTCTCATTGTTCAACTCCCAGCTATGAGTGAGAACATGCGGTGTTTGGTTTTCTGTTCTTGTAATGGTTTGCTTAAAATGATGGTTTCCAGCTGCGTCCATGTCCCTGCAAAGGACATGAGCTCATCCTTTTTTATGGCTGCATAGTATTCCATGGTATATACGTGCCGCATTTTCTTAATCCAGTCTATCATTGATGGCCATTTGGGTTGGTTCCAAGTCTTTGCTATTGTGAATAGTGCCACAATAAGCATACATGTGCATGTGTCTTTATAGTAGCATGATTTATAATCCTTTGGGTATATACCCAGGAATGCGATCGCTGGGTCAAATGGTATTTCTAGTTCTAGATCCTTGAGGAATCACCACACTGTCTTCCACAATGGCTGAACTAATTTACACTCCCATCAACAGTGTAAAAGCGTTCCTATTTCTCCACATCCTCTCCAGCATCTGTTGTTCCCTGACTTTTTAATCATCACTATTCTAACTGGCATGAGATGGTATCTCATTGTGGTTTTGATTTGCACTTCATTCTTATAGCTGAGATTTGCTTAAGTAATATAAATTAAATTATATTCACTTATCCATGGTGATGATTTTGCTAGTCATGTTAGGTTATTTTGGTTTGTGTTATTCATACACAATGTTTTAGTACAGTTCAATTCTTTTTTTTTTTTTTTTCTTGAGACGGAGTCTGTCTCTGGAGTGCAGTGGCGTGATCTCAGCTCATTGCAACCTCTGACTCCCTGGTTCAAGTGGTTCTCCTGCCTCAGCCTCCCGAGTAGCTAGGATTACAGGCATACACCACCACGTCCAGCTAATTTTTGTATTTTTAGTAGAGCCGGGGTTTCACAATGTTGGCCAGGATGGTCTCGATCTCTTGACCTCAGGATCCACCTGCCTCGGCCTCCCAAAGTGCTGGGATTACAGGCTTGAACCACTGCACCTAGCCTAGTACAGTTCAATTCTTAATTCTTGCAGAAGTGCGTTGAACTAAGGTGATGTAGATATCTGTCTTCATGTGTGATCTAAATACAATGGAAAGAAAAAAAGCTTATGTAAGAACACTGGTGTTACAGTTTCCTAAAATATTTAAAAATATATGTCAGATTCTGGCTTTCATTCAGAATAGAGAATATGCTAAAGTTGGTATTTCTGGATGGCTAACCAAGTAAATAAAGTTTAGTAAAGGAAAAAAATAAAGGAAGTACCTTTAGTTAACACTTCCAGTTGAAAACTGAATCATGCAACAATTTGTGCTATGCTTTGATAATTTGCCCAAAGTCAACAAGAAACAGAATGTGAATAACAGCGAGAAAATCTTTCAGAGAACCTTTCAGCTATGTTGTCTTTGGCTCAACATGGCAACTGCTAAATATAATCTTTGTGTCAAGCAATCTATATCCTGTCATCTACTTATTCAGTAATTCTAATCATCCAATATTTTTCAGAAACATACACATCAGTTTACATGCAGACACACATACACATACCCAAGCATGATTGTGTCAAGCAGTCTATATCCTGTCATCTACTTACTCAGTAATTCTACTAATCATCCAACATTTATCAGAAACATACACACAGTTTACATGCAGACAGACATACACATACCCAAGCGTGATCTTTAAAGCTCCATAGTGTTTTACATCTGCTCTCAAACTCTTTGAAGCCTTTGCACTCTTCCTATTAAAGTGTTTAGGACATCATTTCAATGAGTCTGTTTCCAGCTCTCCGGCTGACGCTTTAATGTGTACCTGATTTTGTGTGTGACTCAGCTGCCAGCTGTTTTCAGGAAGTTTCTTTTTAAATATTCGTTTGGAAGTGGTTATGACAAGTTATCTTTGCTGTAGTTTATTTGATGTGAGCAATTTTTGCTCATTTATATGAGGAACAATAGCAAAAATACTTATTAGAACACATGAATCTTTGCAACATCTTTCTAATTTCATTCTGCTTTTCATATTATCGAAAGAAGCCCAATTTTCTTTGACTGTTTCTAATAAAGAATGGTTTGTTTTTACTGTACATTAAGTACCATAAATCTGAACCATCAAAGGTCACATATAAAAATATGGCCAAAATCTTTATAACTGAGTAATTGCTCATTCAGAAAAACCCCTTCATCAAACAAACTGTTTGAAGGTTACTTCAAAAGATATTTTTTTCCTTAAGGGTTTTCAGTGTTTGTCATTTAACATTAAAACATTGATTTTTAAAAATTAGAACTAAAGGTCACATTTATAAAACAACTGTATCTTAAATTAAAAAGAAAATCCAATGCATACAAAATCTTCATATCAGATGTAAGTACAAACAGAACATCTGTTCAAGGCTCATATGTCAAATTACATCTTCTATTAGCTTAGTGTTTGAAATGTATACTTTCATACATTATGGTTTATTCAGGAGACAGCTACATTAAAAAAATAAGTCGGCCAGGCACGGTGGCTCACGCCTGTAATCCCAGCAGTTTAGGAGGCTGAGGAGGATGGATCCCTTGAGGTCAGGCTTTCAAGACTAGCCTGTCCATCATAGTGAAACCCCGCCTCTACTAAAAATACAAAAAATTAGCTGGGCGTGGTGGTGGGCACTTGTAATCCCAGCTAGTCAGGAGGCTGAGGCAGGAGAATCACTTGAACCCGGGAGGCAGAGGTTGCAGTGAGCGGAGATCGTGCCATCGCACTCCAGCCTGGACAAGAACAAAACTCTGTCTCAAAAATATATATATAGTAATAATTAAATAAAAAATAAGCCAAGGGTAGAAAGATATGAATAATTAATTTATTATCTATATATAAGTTTGAGATAGTGCTGAGCATGTATTAAATATGATCTTTTGCATCACAGGAAAGAATATGCTTTTCGACTTCTTATCTCAACTCTTCCCCTCACCCCTGTGTTACTTTAAATAAGTTACTTAATGTATCCATAACTTAGTTTATTCACCTTTAGCTGCTTAAAACCAGCTAATACATTTGAAACACTGACAAATAAATTGACTATCTCTCTCTGTGCATTTGTGTCGATACAGTATGAAAATAACAACGTGAAGTACTTATACATGAAAGTCCCTATTTCATTAACCATACTTAAAATCAGTATGTGTACATATAGAGATCAAACTAAATATGCGCTTTCATCCAGTACATGGTAGCTGCCATACCATTGAAACCATTTACTAACAGGCTTATGATTAATGCACGTAGATGTAATTCTGTGCTTAAAAAAGAAAAATAAATATTAGGAAAACAAGCAAAAACTGACATTATATGACATACTGCATTTGGAAATCTTGAAATGGATTTCAATATTTATCAGAACTTCAGGCCTGAAAATTTAGCTTAGTTATTTTTGTTTGTGTGTTGTTTAGTGATATGCACTTCAAGCAATGAGACATTAATCTAATACACAAGATTCATAAGCTATTTTTTGGCAAACATATAATAAGATGATTGTGTCATTGTTGCTTTAAAGCCCAAGATCTCCCTAATATCCAGTGTCATCCTGTCCAGTGCCGTATCAGTCTGTGAAATCTAAACTAATGTCTGTTTTAGGGTATCATTTATTAGTACAGGTTAAGAGCAATTCTATTGAATCATAAGTGGCAAAACAAGGCTCACCAATTTCTGGATTTTCATCACTTTTTTGCTTATGAAATATAACTAATGACCTTCCATGCTTGCTGGGCTGGTCATGGATGAGAATGGACAATAGTTGAATCTAAAACTGAAAACTAAGTTTGTAGTTTCCTTGATGGGCAACCTCAAGCAATGTGGCCTCTCTATTAGCTTGCTCAAAAACAAATGGTAGCCCATATATCATTTTATTTTTCAAGCATGAAAAGTAAAACCTTTGGGAAAGTATCTTTGCCTTGGTTTTAAATACTCTTCTCAGATTCTGCTACTAAATATATTTCAGTAACATGACTATATTTTTTAAAATAGCAATCATTTAGTCCATTTAGTATGAGAAGCATTCTATCTATAACAAATTATATTAATATGTACTTAAAAACATACAGCAACTTCCTAACCAAACCTTGGATACAGTCTTCTTAACATAATCTAGAATTTTAGTCCAAAATAGCTCATGATGAGAAAGGAACCAGGGAATTTAGTATAAGAAAAGAAATAGAGACCTGAAGGACAACTAAGTATTATAGTTATGATTTCTTAAATAAATGAACAGCAGCAATCAAAGAAAGGGTACAGATATATAAGTCATACATTCAAATAAAATCGAACAAATCACATGTAACTACTAATGTTTGTATCAATGATCATCAATTTGAAGCATCCACTGCAATGCATATGAAAAATGGAACGACAGTATACATTCTCAAACTATATCCCTACTCAGATACAATAAAATGGACAATATGAACAAACAATGTAACTGAAATCTAAAAATCAACATTTTACATTTTTTTCAAAGTGAATTATTCCTTCAGTTCTTATTATTAATTGACCAAAACCTAAAACTAACATTTTTTTTCTTAAATTTTCCCATAAGAGCAAAGTCTTAGCATCTATTTTGATTTTTTCCAATAACTCTGTTTCTTGCCTAGAAAGAACACATTAAGGAACAGATATTTAAATTAAGAAGACCAAAAGAAAAATAAAGGCAGTTTTAAACATTTAGTATTATTCATAGTAGATTAAGAAAATCAGAATTAATACACAGATAATGAGATCTCCAAAACAAACTACCCACATTTGATTTTAATAGCTTGGTTGAGAAATGGGAAATGATGGGAATAATTAATTTTCAATTTGGAAAGTCTGTGGGTGATGTCATCCTTTTTAATCTATGAATCAACAGTTAAATTCGAGATTAGTGGTTCCTCCACTGGCTGATATTTCAAAAAATAATGTTTTCTGGTTACAGATACTCTGATTCATTAGATTTTAGGTGGTTCTAGAGATGCAGGGAATTCTGATAGCTACATTGGGGGATGTTCATTTAGAAACCATAACTGCATTATCTGGGTTGTGCATGTAGCAAACATATTTTACACTTTTCTAAGTATTAATGAATCCTCTTTAATATGAACAGGCATGAAAGTTTTTGTTTGTGTTTTGTTTTTATTTGTTTAGTCATTTTTTTTTCTGCTTCGTTTCTAATGAAGGTTCTTGTGAAAAGTGATACAAAATTTGTGTCATTGACAAAGTCTAGAGGATATAATAAATAGTTAACATGAATAATTATTATTCTCAGACTTTGTGATTATAATCACTAGCTCTAAGGTTCTGACAAAGTTTAGAAAAATTAAATGAGAATCTCAAAGATGATTAACATCTTTGAAATATGACAATCAAGCAAGGTGAAAATTATTCAGTATTACATTTTTTAAAGAAAAATAACTGAAGGGAAATTTAAACAGTCTCCAAACATGGTAGAGATGGAAAGCTAACCCTTTCCTCTCTGAGACTTAGTATTCATCACTTATAAAGTGGTAGAATTGAAATAGGTATTCAGTAGAACATAAATGCTTACAGATAGGGAGTTGGTGTTTTTTATGCCTGTAACTCTAGAGCCTAGTATAACCTGTAACATATAGCATGTTCTTGATAAATATTTATTAAATGAATGAAACTATGTGTTGTTTAGGTACAAAAAAATGCATGGTTACATCTTTATCCAACGTGAGCTAATGAGAAAAAATATATTTGTCCTATGTTTTGGAAAGTTGTATCTGCTTTGTTTTTGTTTTTGTTTTTTCACTCCAGCTCTGTTGCCAGACTGGAGTGCAGTGGCACAATCTCTGCAAACTGCAACCTCCGACTCCCTGGTTCAAACCATTCTCCTGCCTCAGCCTCCCGAGTAGCTGGGATTACAGGCATGCACTACCATGCCCAGCTAATTTTTGTATTTTTAGTAGAGATGGGGTTTCACCATGTTGGCCAGGCTGGTCTCGATCTGCTGACCTCGTGATCCACTCACATTGGCCTCCCAAAGTTCTGGGATTACAGGTGTGAGCCACCATGCCTGGCCGTATCTAGTCTTTCTTAAGAAAGAGTGATAAATTGTATCAGTTATGTTATTCATAATATACAAAATTTATAGATAAACTTAATATTATGTGTTTGTTTCCCAAATTATATTTTGCCATCTGTATTAGTCCATTCTCACACTGCTATTAATATAAAGAACTGCCAGAGACTGGGTAATTTATAAAGGAAAGAGGTTCAATTTTCTTTACAGTTCAGCAGGGCTAGGGAGGCCTCAAGAAACTTACAATCTTGGTGTAAGTGGAAGCAAACACGTCCTTCACATGATGGCAGGAAGGAGAAGTGCTGACCAAAGACGGAAAAGCCCCTTATAAAACCATCAGTTCTCATGAGAACTCAGTCACTGTTATGAGAACAGAAGCATGGGGTAACTGCCCCCACGATTCAATTACCTATCACCAGGTCCCTCCCATGACACGTGGGGATTATGGGAACTAAATTTCAAGATGAGAGTTGAGTGGGGACATAGCCAAACAATATCACCGTCCTTTTATTCAAAGTTAAAAGATAAATGTTTAAAGGATATAAATATACATATATCCACTTTGCAGATTTATTGTGCAACTCAAAAATTTTAATGTCATACTTGACATTTCAAAATGCATTCAGAAAAATCATTTGAATATTTAAGCCAACACATTTATCTCAAATATTAAATTTTATTAACTAAGCAAAATTTATATAATTAATTTAACGTGTTCTAGTTAAGTGGGAGGAATTTAATATGACTTGTAAACCTATGCAGAAGATGATAAAGAATACCAAAATCCCACACTCCCCAAATTATTTATTCCTCTTCTTGGCCACAGGAATTCTTGAATTCTTTCCAATGGTGTTATTGCTTGCATTCTTTTGGAAAAACTTTGTGTTGTGGCTAGGTTAATTATTATAACACTCTTAAACAGTAATTAATATTGGTTTGCTTTCAGTTTATTAGTGCTCATTCTCATCTGATAGGCTAAAAGAAGGGGGAAAAGTTGAGAAACAGGGATGGGTCTGGACCAAATTATATAGAAAGAGTGGATAGTTATCACCGCTAAAGAATCATTAAAGAAATTGCTCACTCCTGGCCAGGTGCGATGGCTCATGCCTGTAATCCCAGCACTTTGGGAGGCCAAGGCAGGTGGATCACAAGGTCAGGAGATCGAGACCATCCTGGCTAACACGGTGAAACCCCATCTCTACTAAAAATACAAAAAATTAACCGGGCATCGTGGCAGGTGCCTGTAGACCCAGCTATTCGGGAGGCTGAGGCAGGAGAAAGGGATGAACCCAGGAGGCAGAGCTTGCAGCAATGAGCCGAGATCGCGCCACCTCACTCCAGCCTGGGCAACAGAGCAAGACTCCGTCTAAAAAAAAAAAAAAAAAAAGAGAGAAATTACTCACTCCTTTCCCCTGTTACCAAAGGCACACAAGAATTTTATTTATGTATAAAGTTGATGTGTTAGTAAATGTTTTACCACTTGGCTCTCTGAAAGAAAAGCCCTCATCTGTAGTGTTTGCTGATTTCCATGGAGAAAATTCCCCAGGATTTTTCCATATTAACTATTGCCAAGCAAGCTTACTTACATTATGGACTGTTTTTCTACAGATTTATCATTTAATGTCTCTTTCTCATACTACAGTATAAATGATAAACCCAAGGGAAGCACAATATAGATAATAAAAGAGGAAATAAAATATCACTGTTAGAAAGGTAGAGTTCCAAGTAAATGATCATACAGGTACATTATTATTTTACGGTAATGTAGCCTTGAAGGCATCTTTAAAAGGAATAAATTCCAGAAAAATATCCTGCAAAACCAGCAGTGCCTGAAGGAGTTAGTAATTAAAATGTGCCAGAAAGACTACACTATAGAATTTCCTACATATTCACTCTAATAAATGTTTCCATTCAAGGAAAAATGTTAGAAAGAAAAAATCAAATAATAATTGACTTGAAAACTTGTAGGCCAATTTTTAGCTGGGAGCAAATATGTAATACAGATATATAAATCTCTCCAAAAGGATGTTTGATGATGGAAGTCCTTGGGGGTAAAGTATACCTATGGCAATTCATTACTCCATTTAAAGCACTGCATTGTACTTTATTTACAAAAAATAGTGTATAAAATGCTCAGACATTCTGTGAAAAAAGTAAGGAGAAACAAGAAATATAGGCTGTTTTTTTTCTGCGAGTTGTATATAATTTTACCCAAAAATATCCTGGTTTTCCTTTATTATAGTCTACCAATGAAATTATCAAGAGTATACTGGAGAGGAAAGATATAGACTTTGTTGAATTCCAGTCTAAATTATTTGCATTGTCACTTTAAGTTGCCTAACATATCTAGCTTTCAGTTTCCTTAACGGTAGAATGTGAACAGTAATAGTAATATTTACTATGTAGTGTACTCTTTCTATTTCTTAAGTTACGCTAATCATTTCAGAAAATTTTCTCATTAAACTTTCAAACAACATGAAGATCCAGGTATTATATACCTATTTGTAACAGATGAAAAATCTGGGACACAGAGCATCTTGAATTCCTTCCTGAGAGTCACAGAGCAAATGCGTGGTCTAGAAGAGATTGTACTTGGATATTTGTTTCCTAAACTCAGACTTCCAACCTCCTCTCTAACTTCATAATATTTGCAAAATAATTAAATGGATATGAAAAGCTAGCAATGTGCTGAGTATCTAGTAGGAGATCAGTAATTATTAAATGCATCCAATTTTTCCTTACATTTCTAAAGGTACTGTGAAGAAAGGATGTATAGCTTTTTTAGTCAAAAATAATTAGCACAAGTATTCTGCTGGGTATTTTGTATCCTATTGATGAGTTTCCTTATTGGTGGGAGTGGAGAAGAATAAAGAGAATTAGGAAAGAGAGAGAGAAGAAATCTCCAAATTGAACTTAAATAGCGGGAGCTGTCCTTCAGAACCAAGCCTGCTATTAAACTAAAAAGGTGCACACTGGATGCACATCAATCTTTACTGTCACCTTCTACAAACTATGATTGAGTAATAGATGAGTATTTGAATACAGCACTATATTCCATCGTTGGCATGTCAGCTCTCAGTGCTGACTAAGTGAATTGTGTTGCTCTCTGATTAACTTGAAATAAAGAGGATGTTCATTTCCATCAACATTTATCAGAGCTTTGTGGTACAGGCTAAACAGTTTGTGCCACAACTATTCTTGAAGTTAAGTTCAGAAATTCCAATTTATCAGCAGAATTAGTTTCCCAGATTTTCAGAGCTGTATTCTTGAGTATATTTTCTGATAATTTCCATAGAATATTTTCAGGTATATTCGTTGAAAATTTATCTTGATACATAAAATTACCTTGGTCAAATATGTAATACAATTATGACTTTCCTTTCATCGTCATTTAATAATAACAAATTCTCAAAATAGTTTTCGAAGCATTTTTTTTTTTTTTTTTTGAGATGGAGTTTTGCTCGTCTCCCAGGCTGGAGTGCAAAGCCACAATTTTGGCTTACAGCAACCAATGCCTCCCAGGTCAAGTGGTTCTCCTGCCTCAGTCTCCCGAGTAGCTGGTATTACAGGCATGCGCCACCACCCCAGGCTAATTTGTGTGTGTGTGTGTGTGTGTGTGTGTGTGTGTGTGTGTGTTTAGTAGAGACATGGTTTCTCCATGTTGGTCAGGCTGGTCTCGAAATCCCGACCTCAGGTGATCCGCCCTCCTAGGCCTCCCAAAGTGCTGGGATTATAGGCATGAGCCACCGCGCCTGGCCCCTATCAAAGCATTTTTAATAATGTATTGTTTGTGGGGAGTGGAAGAGAAACAAGTAAATGCCACCAACACTGATCTACATATTTGTTAACAATCAACTAACAAATGATAAAATACAAATATTATTACAATGACAGAATAACCATTTCTTCTAGATTTTACTAAACTTCAAATTATACATGGCTTGAGTGCCTATTTTAAAAGCAACAGGAAGAATTATACTTGGAGATATTTCAGAGATACATTTCAGAAATGAAATCTGAGGGTACAGATTCTAACTCAATCAAAGGTCTATGCATCAGACAAAACAATCTGCCCAGCTAGATCAAGATGATTACAGTCTCTCCAAAATCCAAAGTGGTAGCATATTCCATTATCTCACTAAAGTCTTGTGTGATCTCCTTTAACCTTTTCTTCTAATATAACTCACTTAACTCTTTTAGTACTTTTCCTTCCCTCAAATCATATGGAATATTTCTTTTCTTTCTTCTTAGAATGTATAGTATCTGACATTCTTATCATTTATTTAGAACCATAAAAATACTAAAAAGGGGTATAGGGATCCTCTAATTATTAGACACTTATTTAATTTTTTACAACATGTCTGATATTAGTCAATGAATGAAGAGGCTCGGTTTATGGTGACAAATGAGAGCTGATTATTATGATCAATGACAGCAATAAAATGGAACAATGGAAACCATGGAAAAAAATAAAGCTCCACCCCATCTGAAGGTGGTCATCATACACAGTGCTTGCTGATTATTGAACAGACAGAATGCAGGTTCAGGACATCCATTGTGGAAAAAGTTGATCAATACTTCTTTTTTTAGTAAGATGCTGTGTTAGACGTCTCAACACAGTTTTAAATACAGTATTGGTACTAACCCCGCACTTTAAAATAGTCCAATTTAGGATAAGCCAAATAACTCCCCAATGTCAAAGCAGGAAAGGCATGTATTCTATAAATAGCAGATTTTAACTTTGAAAATTCTTTAGGAATGTCAGCTAAAATAAAATCATACTACATAAATATTCAAGCATACATGAAGTTCTGATATATTCTGAATTTTCCTGAATAAACAAGAAAGTCAATATTTGATATTTAATTACAAACAATAAAATGTAGGTTTCTTTTAATACAAGAGAACATGAAAACAAAATTCACAATTGCATAATCCCTGTGACACTGAAAACAAACAAAAAACATTAACAATTCCAGAGGTAAAATTACATTATCTGTATTGTTCTCAGTATTTTACATGCATTATGTCATTTAATCCTTACAAAAATCCCATTCAATTGCTTCTATTCTGACCTCCAATTTATATAAGAGAAAACTCAGGCCCAGGTGAGAAAAGTGGCTTGCCCAAGGCCAGACAACAATAAAGTTCTAGAGTAGAGTAGGATTTGAGCATGCGCTCTCTTTCCTTTCTTTCTCTTTCTCTCTCCAGTGATTTGTCCTTTCTTTCTGTCCAACTTAATTTTAAACAACTTGTACATATTATATACACCTGCATCTTGTTTTTTCAAATGGAATTAAATTTTGGAATTATTTTCTATCAACTTATCCAGATCTACCTCATTTCATAACAACTACATGGAGGAATCATAATTCATGCAAAATATACAGAGTAGCAGCATAGTGTTGTGTTTTAAGACACAGACTCTAGAGTTCAAGTTCTGGGTTTTGGGTCTTAGCACTGCACTCACATCACCATTGCCCTTACTAGCTCTATGATCATGGTGCAAAACGGGAACAATAATAGTAATAGCTCACAAGGTTATTATGAAGGTTAAACAAATTAATATTTCAAATCATATTGAATAGAGCCTGATGTAATTAACAAACTATATAAGCATTGTTAATAAACATTAAGGAATTTTTTATTTCTAAGTTGTTGATATCCCCAACAATTTAAGTTCATCAAAGGACATAGCATTTTTAATTTTGAATATTGCCAAATGATCAAAATTGTGCTGCCTTATAGAATAAACATTATCAACATTTTTAATATTAGTTAATTTTTAAGTGGAAAATTATAGTTATTTAATTATGAGAAAGGTGAAACACCTTTTTGGTTATTTATTATTTGCATTTACTTTTTAAATATTATCAGATCTATTTCATACTTTTCTAATGGATTTCTTCTCTTTACTTAATCTTTAGAATATTTTTACAAATGTGTATCTTGTATTCCCAATTTTATCCTTCATAGTTTTACTGTATTTATATATTGCTATGCTGAATTTTTTTTTAAAATGCCTATTTCTGTAAAATTTAATTTATTTATCCTGGAAACCTAGCAGAAAAAACAATTTAATTTTTTTACTAACAATTTTTTAAATTTCTTTATTTTCTCAATAATTATAAGTGCAAAATAGCTCTGCTACTTATAAAAATACTTCGTGGAACTTAAATGCTCATGGATTATATTTAATTTACTGGTCATATATAATCAACTCAGTGTAAAAGGCAAATATTTCATAATGAGACACTTTAAAATATATGCGCACCTTTTTAAAAAAATGTGTACAATAAATTAGTTTTCTTTAGTTTCTCTTAATCTTAATCTAATAAAAATAGAAAACCCAAAACTATAGATTAAATATTTGAAAATCTAAGTGGACAATATGTATACACTTTTTTCTCAATCATGATAAAATAACTCAACTCAGCTGAAATTCAAATGTATTACAAACAGTTCTGGTCATTTTTCACTTGTCAATGAGCCATTAGGCACTACATTAATTTATTAGAATCTGTTGTTGCTCTTTTGTGATACTTAGGTTCCCAATAATTCTTTTTTGCCGTTGACAGTCTCATCATTCCTTGAAACAAATGATAATTGTAAATCTTTGGCAAAGAGTGTATCATGATCATACCTATCCTTTATCCTGTCTTTCATTAGTACATTCCTCCTCTGCCTTGTTTTAGCAGAGTAGAGGAGAAGAAAGATTTATTGTTTATTGAGTATAATTTGAAGGACAATCAAAAGATTCATTTGTGATATAGTCAACACTAATTGAAGTTACAGCAAATTCTTCTTATTTGGAATGAGATGTTACTTCACATACTGTTATATGGGATAATTTTATGATAAAATAATATGTTGAAATTATCCACAAAACTACTCTTAAAATACTCAAGATAATATGGAATATTTCAAGATCATTTTCTAATAGCTGTAAACTAACATTGAACAGAGGTAGTGCTAGCTTATGAAATCTTCGATGTAACATTGAGCATTCAAGTACCAAAATAAAAATCTGGAGTACAAAATTCTAATATCAGAATGACTACAGAGATGTAGGAGGAGAATAAAATAAAATGAATTCTTTGTGTAGGGCAATGAGGGACCTGAATCATGACAAGTATGTGAGATGTACCTACAAAAGGAGCTTAGAAAAGCCAACTATGACAAAACATAGAGGACTGGGGCATGTTAAAAAAATAAATATAAATATAAAATAACAGTCCAAAACATCATCAGACAGATGAATTTTAAGACACATAAACAAGCAAACAAACTTTGTATTAAAGCTCAATTTAGAAATTGGACTAAATATAGAGCATATTCAGTCACACAAAAATATTAGTTGCTACAACAAAGGTCAAGATAATTTATAAAATGAAAAGAGAAATCTTAAAATTTTATTTGTGCTATAGCTCTTCATATTAAACTACCATGCTTATGCTTCATTTACTTCAAAAATCTCATTTGCCAAATTTTAGGTACTGTTTACTTATTTTGACATGCTATGTTACTAATTTGTACTCTTGTTTAATCAGTAGACCCCCAGTTGAAATAGAGATGAATTTTAAAATAATTTTTATAAAGGAAAGAAAAAATGAAAAAGTCTGTCTACAAGGAATTTACTCTGTAGTGAATAATATTTGTGTGTTTCCATTTAAAAAACACACATATTTATAAATACTCTAAAGTCTTATGTACCATTTTATATATTATAAAGATATACATAATCACTAAAGAAAACTTGGAAAATATACAAAGAGAAAAAAATACATATTTGCACAATCTGTAGCCTGTCAATCATCTGTTGTTTTTCTTAGTAGTCTTCTAAAATATTGTAGGAAAATTCTCAAAATAGGGAACTACAAGCCACAGAGGAGTCACATAGATGAAGTCATCTCTCTTGATTGAAGAGGCTTATGAATCCTTTATGAAGGAGACACATGAGCTGTGTCTTGATACTAATCAAACAAAGAAGGGAAATGCCCAATAGGCAAAGGAAAAAATAATGTACAGAAATGTAAAGGCAGAAATAATATCAAATATAAGGCAAAGGATAATTACTTGTTTGGTCTATGTATAATTTGGCAGGGGGAAGTCATAGTAAACAGGTCCAAAATTGACAAAAAGATTCCTAAGGGAAGCTGTTGATGGCAATTTACTGTAAGGGTAGTATAACTCACACTTGTTCTAGGCTTATGACTTTGAGAGCAAAGAAAATTATTGTCAAGTTTAAGATGAGAAACAAGTGGAAATAATAAAATTTGGAGACAGTGAGACAATTTAGAGGACTGTTATAATAACTTGGTGTGTTAGATTATGCAGGTCTGAACTCAAATAAATACAGAAAGGATGAAGAAGAGAACGTTTACCTGGCACTTCAATACTCAGAAAACAGAAGAGACTACCTACATCTTAAAAAGCAAACAAAACAAACAAACAATGAAAGAAAACAGAATACAGAGAAGATGAAAAACACTTACACTACAGAACTAGTGACCAACTGAATTTTGGAAGAAGAAAAGGTATAGGAAGCAAGGATAATCCCTATGCTTCTGACTTAGAAAATGTTGGTATTACTAACAGAATAAAGAATAATGGTAGACTTTTAGGTATGAGAGGAAATGATTAATGCATAAACACACATAAATATAAAAAGTGGAGTTTTACTTTTAATTATAAAATATATTTTTTCTAAATATAGATATTTATTATCAAAATGAAGACACATTTAAAGCCATATGCATTTGGAATTTTCATGAATAAGAATAAAATGTATAAAGAAGTACTAATTCACATAAATTCGTTTAAATAGTAGACAGAAAGATTCTACTACAAAAGAAACAAAGATTGAACAATCAGAGACAGAGGAAGTTGACTAGAATTTTGAAATATTATGAAAGCCAAGGAAGGAGAAAATTTAAGAGGTGGAATAATGAAGTGTCAAATGCCACAGAGAGGTATATAAAATAAAATAAAAAACATGCCCAAAGGCATTGGCAATATTCCAAGTCTTTGGAAACCTTAGTAAGAGCAGTTAGAGCAGAGTGATGAGGACAGAAACCAGGTTGCATGGGATGTAGAGAGGATGTAATCTTATAAGGCAGAAACAGTAATGTATATTCCTTGTTGAAAAAGCTTGCTTCTGAAGAAAAGAGAATAGATAAGACAGTTATTAGAGTTCACAATGGGTCATGAACAATGAAATAAGTGAATATAAGTGAAAAAAGGAACAATTAGAAAGCAAAAGTTGAAAAATATAAAATAAATAACAAGGCAAGAATTTCTGATAACACAGAAGTTAGAAGGAAAAGTCAGTTTTCCCCTAGAGATGGGGTCTCACTATGTTGCCCAGGCTGGCCTCAACCTCCTGACCTCAAGCAATCCTCCCAACTCAGCTTTCCTAGTAGCTGAGATTACAGGTGTGAGCCACCATGCCTGGCCAAAAAAAAATCTTGAGAAAAATAAGGTGTACTTATCTAATTGAGGCAGGAGAAAGTTAGGTAAATACGACTATATGGAGGCAAACACATCTGTAGATAGTAGAGAAAAATTGAAATATCGTGTAGCATATGACCAAAAGAAAGAGAATCCCAGAGTTAATTTATTTTCCAATCCTAGTATGTTACATTGCAGATGTTATATCATCTCCCACACGTTTCTAAATTGTAATTAAACGCTGATTAATAGCAGAAGCTGAGAGAGAAAAGAAACATAAAAATCTAAGACTGTCTGATTTCATAAGATTGACTGAATTCTTAAAGAAACAGAGTAGAGAGCAGTTTAGGAAGGCAGACAAGGGCCCTGAGGGCACCATCACCAAATTGATATCAGCTTGGCTCAGGTTCCCTTAGCTTTTTTTAGATTCCATTTCCAGTTGAACTAAATATGTTTGCTTTATCACTATTTTCGTCTATCTTTTCAATGTCCTCAATACATTTTCACCCTGAAACTTCCTCACTGATCTATAACTGACATCTGTTGGGACATTCCCGAATGGATAAGCATTTGATTGTTGCATGTCTGCTTTTTTTTTTTCTCTAAAATGTGTATTGTGTATAACATCAGAAAGAAGTGTGGAGTAGTTGTCTAGGGGCAAATATTAGTGGATGCTTGTCATCCACAAGTTATCAGCTTGTCTCTGGATGAAAAGACAAACTTCAGTGAATTGGGTAAGACATTATAAATTGAAGACACATGCTTCCAAATGAAACTGGATACTTTATGTTTAAAAAGGTACAAGAAATATGTTGTGATACTTCACAGATGAATGTCAAAGTAATAATAGATCTTTTAAGTCCACATTTTCTAGGAAAATGTTAATAATTATGTCATCTTTCTTACCTTCTTTCATTTCTCTCTCTCTGTTTCTCTTCATTCAGAAAATGAAATACTTAGGGTTTCATCAATTGTTCTGTAAAGAAAATTTTGTGTTCAAAAGTATCCAAATAATATATGCCATGTCAGACCGACACAAGAGACAGACCCCTTATTGAGCAGGGGACCTATCCAGAATATTCAGTCAACATATATTTTTTGTCCTTACTTTACTCAAAAAACAGCATTAGAAAAAAAACTTACATGGCTTTTTGTGTCTCTGTATTCTGTTACAGTGCTGAATCATCTATGCCTGCAGCAACTGTAGCAAAACTGACTTCAAAGTGACTGTTTTTTAGATTTAAACTAACGAGAAGTAAAACAAAACTTGGCCGTGATGAGCCAAACAAAGATTAATCTATGAACTTGATATAATCACAGCTAAATTTTGTGCGTTGGTGTAAAAAATGTCTCTAAATTAAAACACAAGTAATGATAGAGGAAACCAAATGTCAATCATCATTTTATATAACTTTTAAAACAATTTAAATTTACAAATTAATGAATCACAAAGGAAAACAAAGAATAATGTTGAAGGTAAAATTAATAGGAATCTAGATCTTATTTTTATGTAAACTATAATTTAATATTAGCATGTTTCTAAAATACATTTACAAATTAGGTAATATATGTGGAAGAGCATATAAAAATATAAATATTTAATCAAATGTGAAGGCTTATTTTGAATCCTTGGTTGTAACTCAGATTTGGCCTTCATGTGCGTGGAAACGAATCCCCTGTATCTGAGTTCAGAGAATTTTAATAAATAAGATTATATTAATAAAATCCTGTTTTGGGAGGTCCATGTTTATTAGAAGCATCATCTGCTGAAATCCACATCAACATTCATTCAATAATAATCATAAATAACATAATTAGTTATTATAAATTAGTTATTCTAATTATTGGAATATTTGTAAAATTAATGACAGCAAATATTCAAGGCTAAAGAATAATTATTTACTTAGTGGGGAATCATACCTCATCATATGTATACTAATCAAATATCAAGTCTAATCTCTTTTTTGTGTTTTTTCTGATAATCCTGCAATCATTAGGCATTTTGCTCTTACAGTTTTGGCTTTTACATGTATCAAGACATGTCTGAGCAGTATAAGCTTTATCCAGTTTGAAAGTTCAATAATGAACATTAGATTGAGAAAAATATATTATTGCATTCAGTAGTGTTCTTTTTATTTGCTTTATTTTGTGGTTGTTTGTGTTGTATAAAATTGTGTTGTACTTTTCTTCTTCATTCACAGAAATACATTACTTGAGTACATTGACTTTATTTGGCAAACCTGTTTCATGTAATATTAACAAAATGAGGACCACTTATTGTTAGTTGCATTAAGTCCAAGCTTCTTAAATGAGTGAATTTATGACCTTTCAACCTACCAGTTAATATTATATTATTATTATTATTTTATAAATGGTGGGCACCTCTAGGCTGTAATAATAATAAAACAAAAAACTATCTGAAGAACCTTAGAGTTAAGGAAGGTATGCAACCAAAATAAAAACATATAACTAAATGTAATAAGCATTGAGGCAAACACACAAAATATTTATAAAACATGCTATTGGAGAACAGTGGAGCCGTTGTCTGTTTTCCTGAGAGACAAAAGTAGACTTCCTTGAGGAAATGGCATTTATCCTGAAAGTTAAAGCATGAATAGGAATGCCCCAAATGGGCCAAAGATAGTGCTAATAAGGAAGAAGCTGTGTACAATCACAGATATGTGAAGCAGGGTGCAGATGACTCAAAGGTAGTTGAAAATATATCAGCCTTAAAAAATGGAAATCAGATGATCATTGTCACTGTGTTATATGCTTAAGTGTTTGGAGTTTAGCTCATGTATCTACCTCCTACAACCCTCACACACAAAACTTCTTGTCTAAACAATAAGTTAATAAATTATATGGAATTGTAATAGCTGTAATTGAGATAAAAGAGATTTGAGAATCTAATACATGTGATGAACCTCAACCCTATAATATCAGGACTTAACACCCAAAACCAAACTATCCCCCTAACAAATGTGCACTCTTCTCTCTTGCTCTCTCTCTGTCTCCCTCCCTCTCTTTCTCCCTTTTTCTCCCCCCTCACTTAGTGGGTGTGTTTTTGTTTCACTTAGTTACTTGCACATGGCAAAAGGCTATTAAGCCTACCATTGTTATTATATGTAATGAAGATGTGACCTGTAAAAGACAGACAAAAGTAAGCAGGGGGAAACACAAGTATTTTGCTTGAGAAAGAATTTTATCATGATATTGGGAAGAAGGAATGTATAGAAGGAGAAGTGTAAGGAAACCTACCCAAATAAAGAATCTCCAAGAGAAAAAAAGAGGAATGCTGTATCTCAGAAAGACATGTGACCATACATTTGTTGTTCCTGAGACAACTCATAGAACTAATGAAAAGAGGTGCACACTATAAAGAACTGCCATAGATCAATACCAGTGGAAGGAAAGGGAAGAGAAGACAAGGATAGAGGAGGACAAATATTTGGGCAGGAGAAGTTGAGTGGTGATATAGGTCCAATATTTGACTCAGCTGACTCCACAGGAAGCTCCAAGGCTTAAATGGTCAGCAGTAGCTGTGTTATGTTGGTCAAAAAAGGGCAAGATTTCAGACCTCTACCTGAATGAATTGAGTTCAGGCTCTCCCAGATACAGTGTGACTTTTAGATGAGAGTGCTCTTTGCAGCTGAGGTAATCTATGGAGGAGCTGAGAGTCGATGGCCATCTACTGACAGTATTCCTAAAAGCTGGAGAGCTAAGACTTTTCTTGAAGGGAGACTTGAGTGGGACACTATGCCCAACTTACTCCCCTCTACTAATCTGCTCTTCAGTTAGTTGAAGATGGTTATTGAGTTCCTTAGCAATAATATCTTCTCCAAAGCAAGCGTTCACATCTTTTCCATCTCTTTGCCTTTTATGTTATTCTTGGTCGTAAGTTCTAAAACGGTTTTTCCCTTCCTCAATTTAGAAGCCTAAGACTAAACATGGAATTCTAATAATATGTAAACCGTAAAACACAGCATGGAAGGCTACAAAGGACAAAACAAACAGTTAGCATTAATCAACTTTCTTAAGAGATGTAAGGGAAAATTCCTAAGTGAAAAACCGGAAAAAACAATTATTTTACTTAAGCCTAGCATTTTAAGGACGTTTGAGTTAAATAGACAAAAAAGATAGGGTTCCATATAAAAAATTAACTATGTACTTAATGGCAATCTGACCCTTGTAAAATCCTTCAACGAAATTAAGTAGCCTTGTTAGCATCTCATTTTAAATGTGTGAATGAAACTACTGAACTAAACTAGAAAATAAAGGTCACCGATCTAAAGAATGTGTTCCATGGGAATATAGGTTATAGTGTTGGTTGGTGTGGAGTTATAGGTCATTTTCCAGAAAAAGATATAAGCTAAAATACATTTCTATCCAAAGTTGGGCTATATTTATGTAACCACTGATCTTCAGAACATGTCATCTGCCATCCTGCAGCCATGTGGAAGTTCTGGAAAGGCTTTCATATTACCAAAAAAGAGAGGACATTTATAAAATATATTACCTTTTGATGTCTTTTTAAAATGTTTCTGTCACCATTTTTTTCTCTGCTTATCTGAACTTTTACAAGATGAAGATCATACTCACACTTAAGCATGTGAATAAGATTGCTAATTAATAAAATTAGTGAATCCTAATTCTACAAATGCTGAGCAGTTTACAAAAGCTGCTAGAGATCACAACTATAACCTTTCTCATCTATTAAAGCACATAATGTATCATCAAAAAGGAAAAATACATAAACCAAACACAACTACTGAGATCAGAAACCTTAAGCAGTTATCTTCTGTGCATACTATCTGAATCTTCTTTAATGCATCTGGCTTCCAAAATGCCAACTAAGGGAACAAATTCCAGCAGGTATAGCTACATATTATGCATTCAAAAATAAAACCTCACTAAAAAGAAACATATTTTCTGCTTTGTGATTTAAACTTCTCTTACCTCACGATTTATACCAGGTTTCAAATACATACTAACATTGAATTTCAACAGTGAGAAACAAATGAGATGAATATCGCTATTAAGTTTGCAATGTTAGTTTGGTATATTGCTTGAACTTTTGGACCTCTTTTTAAATATAAAGCTTCTGGGCGTAGACAACTACTTTTAGAAGTTATCCTTACTAAACAAGGAGATTTCTGTACAATGATGTCACTGAGTCTGCTGATACTAAATGAATTTAGTGTTCTTCAGTTTGTCTTAGTGCTATATGATGTGAAACTTATCTATCCTCCTTTTCAATGATAGCCTCACTGATATATTGGTCTAAACATGGATGTGTAGATGACGCAAAGATACTACCATTTGTTACAAATAAAAGGTAGAACAATGGGTAGAGGATTGCCTGTTCTGCAATGACAAATGACCAGTAATCTACACAGTGAATATATTCCTCTGAAGTAAAATATTTCTAATATACCATAAAGTATGAATTTATTAATAAAAAGTAAGAGGAGGATAGGTATTCATTAACAGTTTTATTATTTATAGATAAGGAATTCTGCCTCTGTTATCCAATACAAGCTCCTTTTTTCCATCCATGAGAGAAATCACTAATCAGCGATGGACATTTTCTCAATACCTGCAGAATTAACCCCATAATCCTTTTTCACCTGGCTTCTACCAACTGATCAAAATTGGGACATGATTTAAAATCTGTCTTTGATCTTTTTCTACCTGATGGCAGTCATCACTTACAAATATAGCTTCTCGTTTAAAGCTGGCTTTATGTAAAATTGGAAAATAAAGTTTATGGCAATTTCTGATTTTCTTCTATACCTTGTAGCACAGTTTTATTTTTTGCATGTTCATCTTAAAATTTCATCCATGTCCCTTTCCATATATCCTTCTATTCTATCTTGTAATCTTCATATCAAATGTAAGATTGATATGTAAGTAGGTCTGAAAACTTCAGAAGCCACTGTCCCCAGTAAAGGGAAATATCTATAGACAGTTAGTTCCTTGTGCCTGGGTCCTCAGGATATATAGCCTATGGCCTCATTTTCCTGGCCAATCAGAAGACTTCTGAAACAAAGGTAACAATTTACAGGTTGGCCCCAGGTTTGATCTGAGATTCTTGGTCATTACAATTCTGTCCATCAGAGCACATTTTCATGGTTGCTTGTAATCTTCATATCTATTCTATTCTATCTTGTAATCTTCATATCAAATGTAAGATTGCTTAGAGAAATGGCTACTTCCAATCGGTTACATTATAATCTCTATTGGAAATTTATTTTAAAAAATATTGTCAGGTCCCTGTCTCAAAATATTATTATTTAGCAGATTGGATTCTATTGAAAACAGACATTGTGATGGAGCTTATATGCAACAAGGAAATGTGGGAATGCTCTTGGGAACAAGAGCTATAAAGGAGGGAAGGAAGCATGATGAGCAAAGGGAGATGCTAATAGAATGTTCTGTAGCTAGTATGTCCTTTCAGAACTACCCCAAACTGAGGTAAGATGCTGGCCTTTGTAGGCTCACATTGACTAGTGATGCTGGCTATCCCAGGAAGGGGCATGACTTAAGGTAAAACATCTCCTGCTGAGAGCAATTCCCAAAGCGGGGATTTCTGACCTTCTCCATTGTTTCTGCCTCATGACTAGCAACCATGAAAATGTGCTCTGATTGACAGAATTGTAATGACCAAGAATCTCAGATCAAACCTGGGGCCAACCTATAAATTGTTACCTTTGTTTCAGAAGTCTTCTGATTTGGCCAGGAAAATGAGGCCATAGGCTACATATCCTGAGGACCCAGACATAAAGAACTGTCTATAGATATTTCCCTTTACTGGGGACGGTGGCTTCTGAAGCTTTCAGACCTACTCAAGCTTTTCTCCAAGACACTCAGCAATCTCATATAAATAAAAATAATTTAAAATATACACATAGCAAAAGAAAGAAACTATTTTTATGGTAAATGATAAAAACTAAACATTTAGATTCAAAGATAAATTTTCAAATGGATAGACAAGTTTATTTCTTCATTCATTCAACAATTATTTACTGAATATCTTTCATGTGCCATACATGGTTCTAGACTCTGGGGATACCACACTGACAGAACTAGTATACAGACAAACTCTTTGTGGTGCTTACTTTCTACTAGGATATATATTATTTAAATGAGTTAATAGATTGGGATTTATATTATTTAAATAAGTTGATAGATCAATGGAAAATAATAGGAAACATAGAAATAAAGCTGCATACATATCTGTTTAATCTTCCATAAAATTGAGAAAAATAAGCGATGGGGAAAGGACTGTCTATTCAATAAATGGTGCAGGGATAGCTGACTAGCCATATGCAGAAGAATAAAACTAGACCCTTAATTTTCACCATATACAAGCATTAACTGAAGATGGATTAATGTAAGACCTCACTCTCTAAGAATACTAGAAAAAAATCTAGGAAACACTATTCTGGACATCAACCTTGGGAAAGTATGACTAAGTTCTCAAAAGCAATTGCAACCAAAACAAAAACTGACAAGTAATACCTAATAAAGGAGCTTCTGCACGGCAAAGGAAACTATCAACATAGTAAACAGACAACCTACAGAACGGGAGGAAGAGATTCACAAGCTGTGCATACAACAAAGCTCAAATATCCAGAATCTATAAGGAACTTAAAAAACGGAACAAGCAAAAAACAAATAACCTCATTAAGAAGTGGAAAAAATACATGAACAGACACTTCTCAAAAGAAGATATACAAGTGTCCAAGAAACAAAAAAATCCTCCACGTCAGTCATCATCAGAGAAATGCAAAGCAAAACCACAATAAGATACCATCTCACACCAATCACAATACTGTTATTAAAAAGTCAAAAAACAACAGATGCTGGCAAGGCTGTGGAGAAAGCGGAACACTTACACACTATTGGTGGGAATGGAAATTAGTTCAGACCCTGTGGAAAGCAGTTTGGAGATTTCTCACCGTACTTAAAACAGAGCTACAATTCGACCCAGCAATCCCATTACTGGATATATATCAGAAAGAAAATAAAGTGTTCTACTAAAAAGACAAATGCACTTGTTTGTTCATCACAGAGCTATTCACAATATCAAAGACATGTAATCAACCTATGTGGTCATCAATGGTTCACTGGATAAAGAAAATGTGGTACATATATATTATGGAATACTATGCAGCCATAATAAACAATAAAATCCTGTCCTTTGCAGCAACATGGATGCAGCTAGAAGCCATTATCCTAAGTGAATTAACACAGGAACTGAACACCATACTGCATGTTCTCACTTATATGTGGGAGCTAAACATTGGGAACACATGGACATAAAGATGGGAAATACTAGAGGATGGAGAGAGAAAGGGGAAGGATTGAGAAACCAACTGTTGGGGACTATGCTCTCTACCTGGGTAACAGGATCAACTGTATCCCAAATCTCAGCATCCCACAATATACCCAGTTAACAAACATGCAACCATGAACCTAAAATAAAAATAGAAATTAGAAAAAAAAGAATAGAATATGACATACTACTGAAAAATAAAAAAATAAGCATGTTGTGCCTTAATCTCCTCAATAATAAAAAATAATACTGGCTTTGCATGATTAATATAAAGAGGTGTGTGTAAAGTACTCAGACTCTCTTCCTAGTTGATATTAATTAATAAAAAAGCAATGCCTATTATCAAGGTAGCTGATGGGATGGTACAAATGTGGATGTTGGAGTAGTTTAACCCTGTCTTTACTATAGCTTGTACTCTACTGTTTTTTGTTTTTTGGTTTTTTGGTTTTTTTTTTTTTTTTGGTTAAGTGAGAAATTTACCTAAGCTCTCTCAGCATTGAATTTGAGAGATACACGATGTTAAGTAAATACAAATCATGGATATGGAATGACAAATATTGGTTTAACACAGACATTTCTGAATAAAAGGATGTATTTTTGACTTTCTGCCCCAATCAATTTATAGCTCAGAATAGGCATCATAACATTATTTATTGAGAAATGAAAGGAAACATTGTTTATCATGGCATAGATTATTTTACTAAACTAAACTATGCCACAGTTTTCTCAGTTGTCTTCCATATTATTAATTTCATATAAGATACTGTCTTCAACCTGCCTGGTCACAGATTCTTCATGTGTGAAAAATATCAAAGGTTTAAAATGTTAACAGCATTTCTACCACAGAAATGAGTAGACTGGAAAGAAAAATAGTGTGCTGTCTTCAGTGTAAGAAGGTAACTGGCATCTTGTGCTGACATTGTTCTTATGGGACAGAGGGTGAGACATTTCATGATGAAGATCAGAGAAATAGAAAATCTCTCCTCCATGTGCAGACATGCAGGTTTGGTTTTGTTTGTTTTTTCCTTGCTTTTTGGTAGGAATATGTAGAGATTTTGCTTTGGAACTGTATTTGTTTAGGGTTGCCAAGATTCTAATGTTGAACTGGGTATTTGCTTTACATTTCAACCTAATAAAAATTAAACATTTTAGAACAAATCTAATGAGATGTATACATTTCTAATCATTAAAAAGTGTTGATGTTTTAGTAGAGCAAAATAATTCTGAATTTGTAAAACCTGTATACAGATAAAGCAGGGACAAAACCATTATTCTAAAACTGAAAAATATATATTCCAGCTGCACTAAATTTGAAGAAGAAATGTGTATACTTTTATTTAAGAAAGATTATTTTGGAGACATTTTCAATCATATGTAACAAAACAATAATAAAACAATTATAGAAAGTGTGATTTTCCTGTGGAGAAGTGGGGTAGGTATTCAAGTGAAAAGTCTATCTTTATGAAAGCATGATGGGACTTGACTTATGGTGGGGTTACCTTCGACAAATTCATCATGAGTTGAAAACACCGGCCGGGCGCGGTGGCTCATGCCTGTAATCTCAGCACTTTGGGAGGCCGAGGTGGGTGGACCACAAGGTCAGGAGATCCAGACCATCCTGGCTAACATGGTGAAACCCCGTCTCTACTAAAAATACAAAACAAATTAGCCAGGTGTGGTGGTGGGCGCCTGTAGTCCCAGCTACTCGGGAGGCTGAGGCAGGAGAATGGCGTGAACCAGGGAGGCAGAGCTTGCAGTGAGCTGAGATCGTGCCAGGGCACTCCAGCCTGGGCAATAGAGCGAGACTCCGTCTCCACAAAAAAAAAAAAAAAAAAAAAAAAAATATATATATATATATATATATATATATAAAGCTGAAAATGTACTTAATATACCTACAGAACATCATAGCTTAGCCTAGCCTACCTTAAATGTGCTCAAAAACACTTGCATTACCCTACAATTGGGCAAAATCATCTAACACAGAGCCTATCTTATAATAAAATGTTGAGTATCTCATGTAATTTATTGAATACTGTACTGAAAGTGAAAAACAGAACAAAGCACGGCTTTATTGGTGCCTATAGCTTTCACACCATTGTAAAATTGAAAAATTGTAAGTTGAAGTCTTGTAAGTCAGGAACTGTCTGAACATCTTTTAAAACTAAGCGAATTGAAATTTCCTCTATTGTTCTGTGAAACATGGATAGGATTTGGGAAAGGAGAGCTTGTTCAAAGACTGAGGAAAAGAGGACATGTATATTTAAAAGGGCCTTTTCCCCTTAACTTTTATAGTTCGACTGTATGAACTCATCTTCTCTTGCCTGAATTGGTGGGGGGCATTTTAGAGGACAGAAGACAGTTGGTCACTATACACAAAACTTCTCAGAGATATCACAGACACTTGAGCTAATACAGTGTAGGAAACATCTCAGGGGGAAAAAGGTTGAAAATGCTAAAGGACAGACCTCAGGATTTAAAACTAAGAAGTAAATGCTAGATCTTGAGCAAGCAAACAGCCTTAGAGTTAAAACATCAGTTCTATTTAGAAATGTGTATATACATTCCTAGCTATCTATATAGCTAGATAATAGTTTTGATTTCTCAGGATCAAATAATAAAACAACAAAAAAATCAAACAACTTAAATATATGAGCTGTACTGCATTTTTTTTGTTTACAAAAGTGGAATTAGAATGCTTTTTACAGTATAAAGTTTAAGAACACAAACTTCAGGATTAGTCTGATTTCTTCCCAGGTGTGCCTCTTACCACATGTATGACTTTTAATATATTATTTCACCTTTCAGCATCTCAGTTTTCTCATTTGTCCAGTGAACACTAATAAAACATCCCTTTCATGATTATTGTGAGAATTAAATTAAGTAATTTAAGAGAAGCAAATAATCAGGTTAGTGCCTAGGAAATTCTTAGCTATTGCTTTATTACTACTATTATTAGTAGTAGCAGTTATTTTATCTACGCAGTTATGGGGTTTATCAATTTATTAATTGAAACAGGTTAACATATGATTTCTAGCTACACTCAGTTAATTTGTTTCAATTGGCAAAAATTGTGCAAATCCAACCATTTCTGATTCTCCTATGATATGTTATTTCTCATCTCTTTTAAAAAGACGAAAGGAAAAGATATTTCCTTTCTTTCTTTTGTGGAATCTTTTTCCTGAAACAGAAGACAGAAAATTGATGGGAAGAGGAAAGATACTATGGCTCCTGCAATAAACCTGCCCAGATGGTATCAGTGCTTGTAGGGAAAACAGAAGAATGAGAATGTCCCTGTTTTGGTCTTTTACTGGATATTTAATAAGTATGTGGTTTAAATGAGTTTGTTCTCCATTCAATGTACTAATTGGATGGATGATAAAATGCCATACAGTGATGCATGAAATGTTTAACATTCAGAAACTTATTTATTTATACATAGGAAAATATTTTTGTCATCCCAAAAGAATGAGTCTGACAACCTTCAGTAGTCATTCATTATTAAGAAAATTACCAAGTTAACGAATACAATACTGTTTCAGAATAGAAAGCTAATTGCTGAACCTCTAAAGCTTTCCTCACCAATCCAGAATACTTAATGTCTAATATTTGAGTTTCTGTCTCAGAAAATAAGATAACTGTTATAAGTCTCCCAAAAATTCCTCCCACAAATGCTTTCTAAATTAAACTGTAATCCCTGCTACCTCCCAACTATTTTTCTTCTTTAGAATTATAAGGAAAAAACTGCTGCACTTACACATGCTAAGATATAATTTTCCAAAGCCTGTGCCCCGTCCAATTTTTCTAATAGCTCTGAAAACCTAATATAGTTTCTATACTTAAGGTATATAAAGCCTGTCAACATTAAAATCATCTCTTTCTTTCTCTGTCTGTCTCTTACCCTAACCTAACCTTCTTCTCCATTCTTAGTTTAAAATATATTTAGCTCTTAGGACACTTCTCAGACTTTTATTCTTTTCAGTATCCTAGAGCTCAAGAATTTAGCTCTTCAAAGTATTAAACTCATTAAACTCACATTTGCTTTGCATTTTAAAATAAATCACTGAATAACTTACTTAGATTTTTTTTTATTAAAGTAGAATATTAAAAGTGCTGCTTTTCATTATATTAACATATATGTTTTACAGTATTTTGACTTCTGTCTTGACTTCTGTATTAGTTTATTCTCACATTGCTATAAAGAACTACCTGAAACTGAGCAATTTGTAAAGAAAAGAGGTTTAATTGGCTCACAGTTCCACAGGCTGTACAGGCAGCATGGCTGAGGGGACCTCAGCAAACTTACAATCATGGCAGAATGCAAAGGGAAACCCAGCATGTCCAACATGGCTGGAGAGGGAGGAAGAGAGAGAGAATAGGGAGTAAACTTTTAAACAACCAGATTTCATAAGAACTCACTCACTGTCACAAGGGAACAGCAAGGGGAAAGAGAACAGCAAGGAGTAAGTCCATCTCCATGATCCAGTCACCTCCCACTAGGCCCCTCCTCCAACACTGGAAATTACAATTCAACATGAGATTTCGGCAGGGACACAGACCCAAACCATATCAACCTCTACTCTGCTATTTTTGACAAATATCTCTAATTTTACTTTATTAAATAGATTGTCTTCGATAAAAGTATACTCCTATAGTTAACTATTGTATATACTTAATAGCAAACATATTCTTCACTAAATTGTATAAGGAAAGCTTCCATAAGTACTTACATAGATTTTAAGTATAATTATTTTAAAATATATTTTTGAATGTTTTCTTTTTAGATTTCTTTTATAGTCCCAGACAAAAGAAATGGTAACTATTTTATCAGTAAACATGTTATTTATCACACACTTTACCAGGGATTTCCAAAGTTATCCTTTATCATAACATTAGTGTCAAGAGCTACATTATATGACACAGGTTGCGTAATATACATAGGGATTTTAGATACTCTGTGAAGCATGGTAGGTATGACACCAGTCTTGTTTAGTTCAAAGTGTATAACCTTATTGAAAGATAAATTGCTTTATTAATTTATTGTTAATATTTATTTAACAAATATTTTTAACAATTACTGTGTGTCAAACTATATTCCAGGGAGAAGAAACAGAGAGATCTATAAGAAATATGAATCCTGTCCTCATGAAGTTTATGCTATAATAGTAATAATTAATAATAAAGAGGGCTCTTAATATAAGTAATCTCAGTTACCAAAACTCAGTTTTATACATTTAAAAAGACACCATTTCTTAGATTTAAAAAAACACTCTGAAACAGAGAAAGTTTGTAAATTCCCAGGGTCACACATTTCATAAGCACTAGAGCTAAAGTTCAAAACCAGTGATATGGTTTGGCTCTCTGTCCCCAACCAAATCTCATCTTGAACTGTACTCCCATAATTCCCAAGTGTTGTGGGAGAGACCCAGTGGGAGATGATTGAATCACCGGGGCAGTTTCCCCCATACTGTTCTGGTAGTAGTGAATAAGTCTCACAATATCTGATGGTTTTTATCAGGGGTTTCCACTTTTGCGTCTTCCTCATTTTCTCTTTGCCTGCTGCCATGCATGTAAGACGGGACTTGTTCCTCATTGCCTTCGGCCACGATTGTGAGGCTTTCCCAGCCCCGTGGAACTGTAAGTCCAATTAAACCTCCTTCTTTGTAAATTGCCCAGTCTTGGGTAGGTCTTTGTCAGCCACGTGAAAATGGCCTAATACAACCAGGTATTCCATTCCAAATCCTGTGTTCCTGAACACTAGACTACATCTGCTTATGGAGCATGACTTTGCAAATACTGCAAAAAAAAAAAAAAAATGTTGATTGCTTGAGATCAGAGGTCTGTTGTATCCTGTTGAAAATTGTATCCATTCTTCCTAAAATAGTTCCTAACATACTGTATTGCCATAGATACTGCCCAATAAATTAGTGAATAATTGAACAAATATGTGTTCACTACTGGACTAAGAGACAAGTAACTAACTGCTGCTCAGTCAGATCTTGTTTCCTGTTGCATGGAGACAATTAAGTCAAGGTTAGTGCCTTTCATATTCTTGCTTTCCTCTTTCCTATTTCCATGTCCACTGATTTATCTGAAAACATACCTAATCGTCAACTGTTTTTCTAAGACCAAAACCTGTTCAAGGACAATCGCATCACCTATCACCATGAACTGATCTTTGCCCATCCATTACTGTCTAGCTCTTTTGTACCATCGACTAGTTCCTTGCTACTGGCTCCACTCTCCTCTTAGTTCTCTCCAAACCTAAAACAAGCCTTTATTCACCATAAACTTTCAACTCATTTTCATATTCCTTCCTCATATATGTTTATTAAAGGGTAGTTCATAATCACCACTTGCCTATTTCTTTCCCTTAATTTCCGTTTATAATCAGACTCTGAGTCCTGATGACTTCACATTTTTAAATATTTTGCGATCAAATCAGCATCTACTCATTCACTCACCTTGTTTATCAAATAACATCTGAGAGTTTAATTCTTCCTCTCTCTCACTCTTTACATAAAATAAATCACCAGCACTGTTAATTTTCTCTCTTTTACTGAATCTATCCACTTCCTTCTGTTTTTAATGCTATGATTCTATTTGAAGCAAACTTTTTCCCCCTGAATTATTTCCATAGCCTCCCTACAGGTCTCACTGCATTTTGTATTTCCACCTTCTCACTGTAATGAGAGGAATATGTGCTAGAAAGTGACTAAGACACCCTTTCTCCTATTCCTATCAGAAGAACATCTAGAATGTGTAGCTATATTGTGAAAATAATTCAACATTGCAAAGTAAAACACCATGCTTCATATGGTCTTATTTCTGGTGTTAGAGCCAGATGTTCCATATCAACTTTCCTACTAAAATGTATTAGTTTGTTGGCTTTTTCAGTAAGAGAGAGCAGGATAACAAAATAGCAAGAACTGTTACATTGAAAAGAGTATTTTATGCAGCATGAATACTTTCCCTCCTCCCTTTCAGTAATGGGTAGGTGAAGTCAAGTGTTCCTACTTCCTCACCACTTTACTCCTAAACTCAGAAAGCCCCGTTGAATTCTCATAAGTCTTCATACCACTGATGGATGTTGCAATATGGGCATGTAAAATAAAGAAGAGACCGTGACACTGAGTGTGCAGCAATTGTGATTTCCACCTCGTGGTGTAGCAAGGGTCGATGTGTTTCTCAGAGGAGCAGAAGAGGTGAGCTTGCACAAAGTATCTGCAACAAGAGGGTATGGGATAGAAGGAAAGTTGTAAAAATGTGGTATAAAGAGCATTTCACTTTGCTAAGCTCACTCAAATCAGAGAACAGTACAGGGAGCAGTGTTGTGGGACAGCCTGAAAACCATCAAACATATCCAGAGAGAAAGACAGCATTTTGAATGCCAACAGCACTCTGAAAGCCAATGGCAAGGCAGAGGTAGATGAAACAAATCAGCAAAGAAGAAATCTGAAAACTTGCAACCAATATGTTTTTCTTATCTATCTTTGACATTTTTCTCTTATTCCTCTCCTGTTCCCTGTTTCTGCAGCAGACAGGACATCCATACAAAGAACAAATGGGAATGAGAAGCAAGAAAGTAACTGGGTCACCAAGCTTCCGCTTCTGCCCTGCTGGTGACTTACCAAAGCCAGTAAGAACCTGGCTTTTGGAGTGCTTATCATGACAGAAGGAAGAGATAATATTTAAATATTTAAAATAATTAAAATTTACCAAATATCTGCCAAAATTAGTATCTTAAAATATGAAAATACGTGAATAAGTGTATGTAATGTGTATATATATGTATGTATATGCATGTATATGTGTGTATATATGTATATATGTATACACATACATATATAATTTTTTTTTGCAAATACTAAGGTCCCATTATTTGGCCCATTTATGTTCCCTTTTACCAGCTACACAATCAATAAGGTTTCAAATGTTAAAGTTAATATTAGTTAATCTGGTTTAAATATTGCGGCAATTTTTAAACATTATTAAATCACTAAATCAAGATTGTTTAATTTGCATATGTTAAATCATTGTAAAAGAAAATCTATAAATTAATTCTCTTGCTTACATTGCTTCTATTAAGGCTATAATAGAATCTAAGCAATTTTTTTTTTGTTGTAGACAGCCCATAATTTATTCTATGCCTGTTTTCATAAGCTTCATTTTCCTATATCTTCCATTTGCATTGTGTGGTCTAATTGTACTGATTTCTAACTCCTTCTTGAATAATATGCCTTGTTCTTGCATCAGGTCCTGACATATGCTGTTCCCTATGCCTGAAATACCACTTTTAATCCAGCTCACACTTCCAATTTACAGGTCTTCTTTGTTTTCACCTAGAGAGAAATGACTTTCTTGAAACTCTAATCTAGATTACCTCCCACTTTTATGTTCCTCTATAGCATCAAGCACATCCTTTTTGTCAAATTCATCATATTTGAAGTTACTACTTCAGTGTTTTTCTTCCCAGCCAAACTGTAAAGGAGAGGAAAAATATCATCCCTTCCTTATTATTAAATTCCCACTTTCTAGCATAGTGTCTGGTAAATAATAAGCGTTTCACCAATTTCCTGTTTTACAAATTCATTAACTGTGGGTAATTGAACAGTACTATTTACCTTGGGCTATCAAAGATCACAAACAGTGCAAATTGAGACAGAAACAAAACAAAACACAGGTATCAGAGACTCAGTAATCAGAAGGAGTCACCCAGTGAAGTCATATTAAAGCAACGTCATAGAACAATGTGGAGAATTTTTTAGGACAAAGTATTGTTAAACTTCTCCAAATAAATGTCTAAAGAGTCATTAGCATATATTAACTGTTGTTTTAAAGGGTGCATAATTTTACAATTTCCAAGTCTCCCAACCTCTGCGTAAAAATAAAATCACATTAGAAAGAAATAACCCAAATATCCCTAGAACTTTGTGCACACCTACATGAAAAATATTTTGGATTTTTTTCTCTTAAGTTTTTTCATTTCTGAGGGTCTCAAGTTGCTACTATGCATAAACAGTCCCTATACATTCTTTCAGTTCTGTCCACCTTACTGCTGTCTGTTATCCATGAGATCATCTGAAAGCAGGGCCTCTAGATAGCTACAGATTTCTATCCCCTCCATGGGAAAATAGTGGAACTAGGACCTTCAGCTTCAGTCTGAAGACTATATAAAGGGATACAGTTAGGTGATTAAATATGATTTGGAAAGAAATATCACAATGTCACTCTAGTTTCCTGAATTTTCTCTGGTGCCAGAATATAACATCCTCTAAGTGACCACTTGTTTTGAAGCACTAGATGTGAATAGATATCTAGGGCTGCTAATTGGAATAACTCACCAAACAAACTAGACATATCTGAATCTTAGTTTTACTCCACTGCAATTACCTACCACACTAGAACTGCTCAATTTGTAAACCACACACAATCATATAGGTATGCTTGAATAATAAATATAAAAAATCTATTTAATGTACCATGCAAAAAAGCCTTCACTGAAAGGACATATCAAAGGAAATTATTTTAACTAAATATTTTATTGGGTATTAAATTGGGTATAATAAATACATATTTCTTTTCCGAAATATGGAATTCATATAGCTTTTCTATTTCTAGGATATCACATCAAAATTGAGATAAAAAACAAATATCCTCTACCACAGAGCAGAATTAACAATTACCAAGTATCACACTGTATTACGTATTCTGATGGACACTTTTCATTTGTTAAATTATCTTCCCTAAACACAGTGCAAAACAATTATTGTTAGCTCAATTTTCTATTTAATATCTGCATAAAAAAACTGCCATTTTGTGGAGCTTTAGTAGCTAGTGGAGGTACTGCTATTGGTTCTCTGTGTCTGATTCTAACAATTTAAGAACAGAAGTAATTAGTACAACACCCATTTTACCTATGCTTATTATAACATTATTAATATACTTGAGGAAGTTGTTTGCCTAAGATCTTTCCCTTTCCCCAAGATATGAACCCTTAATATCCTTTTTTTCCCCATTCTTCTCTTTTAACCAGTATTCGTAATGTAAATCAAATTAACTGGAAGTTGGGCCCAGATTTATCCTTTCAGGATTCTGTTTCTCCATTTAAAAATTGTGAAAGATGTAACAGATGAGCTCTGAGATATCAGTCACTACTCCCTTCTATGAAATATTCTTCAGCAGCTAAGCTGATGGTGAAATGTTCCAAGAAATGTTTCTCACCATTATGTTGTGTTTAATTATACACAATTTTTTTCTATCTCCTTTTCATGATAAAGAAATTGTCAATGCCATCAGATGTTGCTAAATAAAATCACTAATATTGTTATTATAAGACACTGTGGTGAAAAGTCCATGACTGGACAAGAATTTTTGTTCTGAACAGAGCGCTCTTGGGAAGTCACAAAAGCTAGAGCACTGCTCAATTTTAGGGTGTGTCATACACATCTGAGTTAAGGTGAATAGGAAGTCCTCTGGGTGTTCAGGTCACAAAGTTCTATGATACATGAAGTGTCCCTGAAAACCTCTCAATGTACACTTCTGGTCCGTGTAATATGAGTGGAATTTCTTTATCACTTGAATGCAAGGGTGATCTTAAGACTAGGTTAGGGTTGTAAGTGAAACAAATCAATATAATTAAACAATCCTTAGAACTCACCAGGAGTGATAGGGAAGAAAGTTCTGTCTTCCTTATGAAATGGGAATTATGCAGATGCATGCTGCAGTTACCAACATTTGTCTTGCTATTACATAGAAAGACACTCAAGATTTGTGGTATCCATCTGTGTCATGCAAGCCTATAGATGTGTGAGCATATGCATGTGTAGGAGGTATCCCTGTGTCCTTCAATGTTATAACCTTTCAGTTTATTTGTTAATTTATTTTTAATTTTAAATTTTAGATACAGGGGGTACATGTGCAAATTTGTAACATGAGAACATTGCATGATCCTGGGGTTTGGAGTATAGATCCCATCATCCTGGTAGTGAGCATAGCACCCAATAGGTAGTTTTTGTTGTTGTTGTTGTTGTTATTTCTTTCTTTCTTTGAGACGGAGTCTCGCTCTGTGTCCCAGGCTGGAGTGCAGTGGCGTGATCTCGGCTCACTGAAAACTCCGCCTCTTGGACTCGTGCCATTCTCCTGTCTCAGCTCCCGAGTAGCTGGGACTACAGGCGCCCGCCACCACACCTGGCTAATTTTTTGTATTTTTAGTAGAGACGGGGTTTCACCGTGTTAGCCAGGATGGTCTCGATCTCCTGACCTCGTGATCCACCCTCCTCAGCCTCCCAGAGTGCTGGGATTACTGGCGTGAGCCACTGTGCTCGGCCCCAGTAGGTAGTTTTTTAAATGCATCCCCCTTTCTCCACCATTTAGTAGTCCACAGTGTCTATTGTTCCTACATTTATGCTCATATTTGCCCAATGTTTAGCTCCCACTTATAAGTGAGAACATGCAGAATTTGATTTTCTGTTTCTGTGTTAATTTGCCTAGGATTATGACCTCCATCTCCATGCACGTTTCTGCAGAGGATATGATTCCATTGTTTTTTATTGCTGTGTAGTATCCCATAGTTTATATGTTCCATACTTTTTCATCCAGTCCACTGTTGATGGGCACCTGGGTTGATTCCATGTCTTTGCTATTGTGAATAGTGTTGTGATAAATATAAGAATGCATGTAGCTTTTTAATAGAAAACTTTATTTTCTTTTGGGTATATGCCCAGTATAGGGACTGCTGGGTCCAATGGGAGCTCTGTTTTAAGTTCTTTGAGAAATCTCCAGACTGCTTTCAACAATGGTTGGATTAATCTACATTCCCACCAAAGCATTCCCTTTTCTCCACAGCCTGACCAAAATCTGTTTTTTGACATTTTAATAGTAGCCATTCTGACTGGTATGGGATGATACCTCATTGTACTTTTAATTTGCATTTCTCTGATGATTAGTGATGCTGAGCATTTTTTCATGTATTTGTTGGCTGCTTGTATGTCTGTTTTTGAGAAGTATCTGTTCATGTTCTTTGCTTATTTTTAATGGGGTTGTCTGTTTTTACTTGTTGATTTAAGTTCCCTATGTATTCTGGACATTAGGCCTTTGTTGGATGCATAATTTACAATCATCTTCTCTCATTCTGTAGGTTTTCTATTTGGTCTGTTGATAGTTTGTTTTGTTTTGTAAAAGAACTTTAGTATAATTGCATCTCATTTGTTTATTTTTGTTTGTGTTGCAATTGCTTTTGGGGACTTAGTCAAAAATTCTTTGTCAAGGTTGATGTCAAGACAAAATACTACAAAATAGAGCCCAGCAGCACATTAAAAAGTTAATAGAGCCTCATCAAGTAGACTTTAGTCCTGGGAGGCAAGGTGGGTTCAACATATGGAAATCAATAGATGTGATTCACCACATAAACAAAATCAAAAGCAAAAACTATATGGCCATCTCAATAGATGTAGAGATGGTTTTCAATAAAATTCAACATCCTTTCATGATAAAACCCTCAACAGACTAAGCATTGAAGGAACACACTTCAAAGCAATAAGCCGTCTATGACAAACTGACAGCCAATATCATACTGTATGGGCAAAAGTTTGAACCATTCTCCTTGAGAAAAGGAACAAGACAAGGATGCTCACTCTCACCATTCCTATTGAACATAGTACTGGAAGTCCTGGCCAGAGCAATCAGGCAAGATAAATAAATAAAAAGCATCTGAGTAGGAAAATAAGTCAAACTATCTCTCTTCACTGATAACATAATTCTGTACTAGAGGCTCTGCCAAAATGCTCCTAGAATTGATAAACAACTTTAGTAAAGTTTCAGGATACCAAATCAATGTACAAAAATTAGTAGCATTTCTATACACCAACAACATCCAGTCTGGGAGTAAAATCAAGAACACAATTCCACTTACAGTAGCCACAAAGAAAATGATATACCTAGGAATACAGCTAACCAAGGAGGTGAAAGATCTCTGTAAGGAGAATTACAAAACACTGCTGAAGGAACTCAGGGATGACACAAATTAATAGAAAAATATTCCATGCTCATGGATTGAAAGAATCAATATCATTAAAATGGCCATACTGCCCAAAGCAATTTACAGATTCAAAGCTATTTCTATCAAACTCCCAACGTCATTCATCACAGAATTAGAAAAAAAAAACTTTTCTAAAATTTATATGTCACCAAAAAAGAGCCCGAATAGCCAAAATGATCCTAAGCAAAAAGAACAAAGCCTGAGGCATCACACTACCTGACTTCAAACTATACTATAAAGTCACAGTAACCAAAACAGCTTGGTGTTGGTACAAAAACAGCCACATAGACCAATGGAATAGCATAGAAAACTCAGAAACAAAGCTGCACACCTACAACCACCTGATCTTCCTGAAGGCTGACAAAAACAAGCAATTGGGAAAGGACTCCATATTTAATAAATGATGCTGAGATAACTGGCTACTCTTACGCAGAACATTGAAGGTGAATGCCTACCTTTCACCATATACAACAATTAACTTAAAATGGATTAAAGATTTAAACTCTTCAGTTTATAATATAAAGTTGGGCTTCTTTGTTTTTTGTAACTATAGACTTCAGAGTAATTCTTAATTTTATTTTGATTTTGACATTTACTATTTTTTTTTAAATTATGTGTTAGTGTGGTCCATTTTATGACATTTTTCAGGAAGAAAGATTCATTCCAATATTTTCACAGGTATTGAAATTACGTAGAAGACAAAAGTTAGACAAAATCGGTGGGGGGAGCACTTAAAATAACCTTAATGAAGAAATTTCTTAAAAACTGAAGAATCCCTTGTATAGTTAATTTAAAACTTCTTTGTGTGGCAGAAAAAAAAAGTAAATAATTTTTTTTTAAAGTCACTACATTGACATTGCCAATAAAAATAGAAGAAAGAAAATGCTAAGAACCTTTAGGCTATTATTAAATAACTCTAAGTTATATTAATATAAACTACCTGAAAAGAGGTAAATGGTCTTACATTTGTGTTCAAACAATTAGGTTTATAAAGGAGTTCTTCCTATTAAAAGGTCCATCAAAGAGGAGATTTACCCGTAAAACATAAACACATGTGGGATTAATCTCGGTTTCAGTTTGTTCTTACAGTCAGTTTTTTTAAGCAAAATTAAAAGAATATGGAACTGGGTGTTGGTATTCAAGTTTTAAATTAAGGATGTTCAAACTGCAACTTAATGCCTGTCTCAGTAAATTGTATGCAGACTGTTTAAACAATTTTTTAAAAGCTCTCAAAAATTTAAAAAGCATGTGAAATGTTAAGCTTTCCTGAAATACCACCATGGCCTTTAGTCAGGACCCATTGTGGGTACCTGTCAGGTTTTTGAAACCAAAGAGACAAAAACATTGGAAATTTTTAATTTTAACACTTGAACCTGAAAGAATACCAGATTTAGATTATTAACTAGTCAGATGGCTTTGTTTCCTCTAGCAGCAGATATTCAACTCGATTCAGCTATAAACTGTAATGACATGAAAAGCATTCTATTCTACCTTTGAGGAAATATGGAGGCATGATTGGGTAAAGAAAAGGAAAAATAAAACTAATGCCAACATGTATCATCTTCATAAATATCCTGTTAAATATCCTCATGTTATTTTTTTCTTTCTTCCAATGTCTAGGCACTCATAGCCAAAATATCTTTGTAAAAATTTATAGAAAAGGGGGAGAAGGATGGGAAATGTGAATAGTTAATGAAACTCTACATCCTGTTTGTTACGTTAAATGTTGATGTGGTGATGTGCTTTTATGTTGCAGATTTCTACTATATTTGAGATGATACCAGAATAAACCTTTTTATTCTGGAGAAAAATCTTGTCAAATCCAAATTTCTTGGCAAGAAACTTTGAGGATGATAATAGTGACAATAATGATAATATCAAGAATAAAGCCAATGTTTTTTAAGTGCTTAATATGAGCCAGGACTTTATGTATATTATGTCACTAGATCTTTTCAGAAGCTTCGTGGAAGATAATGCTGTCATTATTATTGTAGAAAATGAAACTAAGAATCAGGGGAGTTGATTATTTTGCTTATAGTCTCTATGCTAGTAAGTGGTGAACTTATTAATAGAATATGAAATTATGTAGTCTTGTTCAAGAGCCCATGAGCCTAACAATTATGTTCTTCTGCCTATCTATATTAACCAGTTTTAATACTTTTATGTAGCAAGTTTGAACATTGTTTGATCACAATATTCTCAATCTGGAACATCACCGAGATCACTTTATACTGACCTGATGGTAATGTTTGACCATGTTACCTGGCTTCCCTTTCTTTCATTATCAGTCACATACAAACATCATGTCCTGAAAGTCTCCAGTTCCACTAACATGGGTCAGCATCCTAAGTCACATCAACCCTTTTCTTCTCCCATCTCACCCTGTGGATTCAATGTTTCTAGTTTTGAAAATTTACCTACAATGTAACACAAAGGATATCTATCAGTATAAATACTGAAGGTATTTTGATATTACATATAATTAGTAATCATTTGAAAACAATCAAATGATAATAGTTATCTTTATTTTAAAGATGCAACTTCTAAATGTAACCATGCAATAATTGCAATTGTACTTCATGTGAGAGTAGACACTTAAGATTACATGAGGAATCAGTAAGGCAATGTGAGCTTTGTCTTAAAAGTCCTTATATAATACAGAGTAGAGAATTTATAGCATTGAAATGGCACTTAACAT